>NC_000003.12:197329562-197480561 GCF_000001405.40 Homo sapiens | reverse complement strand
ATACAGTCTTTGCCAATGTAATCAAGTTAAGATGAGGTAATGCTGGAGCAGGGCGGGCCTGACTCCAATATGGTTGGGCGTCCTCATAAGAAGAGGAGAAGGGACAGAGCCATCCATACAGAGGGAAGATTGCCATATGAAGATGGAGGCAGAGATGGGATTTATGCTGCCACAAGCCAAGGAAAGCCTGCAGTTACCAGAAGCTAGAAGAGACAAGGAAGTATCCTACCCTAGAGGCTTCAGAGAGGGGATGGCTCCACCAACACCCTGATTTCCAACATCTAACCTCTACAACTGCAAGAAATAAATTTTTTTTTAAGTTAAAATTCCTGAGCTCAGGAGATCCTCCTGCCTCAGCCTCCTGAGTAGCTGGGACTACAGATGCGTGCCATCATGCCTGGCTTAAGCTTCTATCATCTTACGCCACCTAGTTCGTGGTACTTTGTTACTGTGTCCTGGGAAATGAACATACATGCAAACTGGCAAATTAGCAGAGAATAAGACATGGTCCACCCTCATCAAATGAGGGAGGCGTGACAACAAACACAAATGAACGAGTATTAAAATGGCTGATTCTTCTAAGTACACTGATGAAATTGAACAGGGTCATGTAACATTCCAGTTCTTACCTGAAGGAAGAGAAGCTCATTGTGGGAGAGGTAGACAGCAGCCAGGTCGCCTAGGGTCTCGGGATGCTGTATGGGAAAATGGGTTGTCATAGAGCCAGGGTGGCCACGGACAGACCTAACTGAGTTGTTTGAATGGATGCTGGTGGCTTGGAAGCACATGGCAGCAATGAAGAAGGAGTGAAAGTGGACAGATTCGAGATACCTTGTGATGGCTGAGCCAGAAGGTCTTGCCGATAGGTTGGCTGTGGAGATGTGAGAAAGAGAGGAATCGAGGAGGAGTCTAGGCTTTTGGCTTAAGCCAAAACCATTTATTTTATTGAAATGGGGAACATTAGTGGGGGCGTATGTTGGGGATGAGAGGGAAGGAACCGAGAGTTCTGTTAGGGTTGAGATGCTTGTTAGATATCTTTGTGAAGACGCCAAGCAAGCCATTGGCTATGTGAGTCCAAAAGTCAAAGTCCAGTGTCCTTCACCCTGTCTGGTGATGAGATCTTTCCAAATATCCAGGCCTGCAGTGAGATTGGAGAGTTTCTTCCTTCCTGTTGGAATATTTCTTTCTCCAGCTGGGTAGATACCCGCTGGGAGTCCCTGGATAACTGCTAATGCCAAGAAACTTGCTAAGTAGCACTGAAGTTTTCAAATTTCTTCACAAAGTATATTGTGCTTCCAAAGCTTCCTGTGGTGTCTTCGGAGCTGTGTCTAGCTGCATCAGCAGAGCTGCGTCTCTTGGGGCTTCCAGGATAAGCTGGGTGGAAGGATGGGGAGAGCTGTAGGTGACCCTGGACCGTATTCCCAGGACTCCAGGCTCCCAGCTGTTTGGCCAATTAAAGAAGAAACCTTCTGCTTTGTACAGACCCACTTCCCACACAAAGAGCTCGGGGGAGAACAAAAAGAGCCAGCAATGCCTGCACTCTGGGAAGGCTGAGCCTCACGCAAGGGTGCTGACTCAGAAGCAGCAGTTGCTTGCCCTAGGAGCCTGCAGTCGTTGGCACAATCAAAAATCAATTAAAACATGCCATTCTGCTTTGCTCACCCTATGCCAGCCTCTCCAGGCACTTCCCCTCATTTTCAGCTCCTCCCAGAGTTCTTTGCTGCCTAATTAACTTGGAGTCCAATAGCCTGAGCAGGAGGCAAGCTGTACAGGAGTGAGGAGCATTGAACCAGGAGCCTAAGCCTCAGGACCTGCTTTGGCTGCACTGTAACTATTCCTGGGACTGTCAGCAAATCATTTAACTCCCTGGGCCTTGGGTGCCTCAACTATGAAACAGGTGGTGATTGTCTACCTTCCTGTCCAGGTGTTTTGGGGAATAATCTTGAGAGTAAAGAATGTATGGCCAGGTGCGGTGGCTCATGCCTGTAATCCCAACACTTTGGGAGGCTGAGGTGGGTGGATCACGAGGTCAAGAGATCAAGACCATCCTGCCTAACATGGTGAAACCCTGTATCTACTTAAAATACAAAAATTAGCTGGGCGTGGTGGCAGGCATCTGTAATCCCAGCTACTCAGGAGGCTGAGGCAGGAGAATCGCTTGAACCCAGGAGGTGGAGGTTGCAGTGAGCCAAGATTGCACCATTGCACTCCAGCCTGGGTGACACAGAGAGACTCCGTCTCAAAAAAAAAAAAAAAAAAAAAAGAATGTATGTGGCCACACTCTTGTAAATTGTAAATTCCTGTTTAAATTTAATAGATTCTATGATATCTAACATATACAATATGACAAAACACATTTTAACCTACATTTAAAAGGAATTCTAAAAAAGTATTCCTTCTTTTTTAGTTGCAAAATTGTTTGGAGGGAATAAGTCAACAATCTACAAACTTACCAAGTTTCTCACAGCTGACACCATTTCTCTTTGGTCTCAGTGGCCCAGAGCAGGAGCTCTAACTGGGTGCGCCGGAATGACTGCAGCGGCGCGTTCCAGGAGCCTCTAAGGAAAGGTTGCCAGATTAAGCAAATAAAAATACGGGATGGGCCAGGCACAGTGGCTCACGCCTGTAATTGCAGCACTTTGGGAGGCTGAGATGGGAGGATTGCTTGAGTCCAGGAGTTTGAGACCAGCCTGGGCAATATAGTGAGACTTTGTCTCTACAAAAAATAAACAAAATTAGCCAGGTATGGTAGTGCAAACCTGTAGTCCCAGCTACTCAGGAGACTAAGGTGGGAGGATCACTTGAGCCTGGGAGGTCGGGGCTATAGTGAAACATTATTGCACCACTGCACTCCAGACTGGGTGACAGAGGGAGACCCTGTCTCAAAAACAAACAAACAAACAAACAAAAAACAGGATATCCACTTAAAATGAATTTCAGATAAATGATGAATAATTTTTTGTATGAGTATGTCCCAAATATTGCATGGGATAAACGTATACTACTTTCATTGTTTACCCGAAATTCAAATTTATCTGGGTGTCTTCTATTTCATCCGGCAGCTCTCCAGGATGCCTGGGCAGCATGAAGCAGAAGACTCGGCCACTTGAATCCCCAATATGCCTCACCCATGTCTCCAGGAGACAGCCCTGCCTTCAGGGGAGGGTCTCCTTGCACTTCAAGCTCTTTGGATTAAGAAATGGTTTATAGGCTGGACGCAGTGGCTCACGCCTGTAATCCCAGCACTTTGGGAGGCCAAGGTGGGTGGATCACTTGAGGTCAGGAGTTCAAGACCAGCCTGGCCAACATGGTGAAACCCCGTCTCTACTAAAAATACAAAAAGTATCTGGGCATGGTAGTGGGCACCTGTAGTCCCAGCTACTCAGGAGGCTGAGGCAGGAGAATCACTTAAACCTGCGAGGTGGAGGTTCAGTGAGCCAAGATCGTGCAACTGCACTCCAGCCTGGGTGACAGACGAGGCTCTGTCTCAAAAAAAAAAAAAAAAAAAAAAAAGTCTATCTTTAATAACTCAACACATATAGACTGTCTCAAAAAAAAAAAAAAAGAGATGGTATATCTTTTATAAGTCAACACATATATTTGATGGCTGCCCATGAGCAGAAGAGCATTGTCTAAATGTGTAAGACAATAGGTCTGGCCACCAGAGACTTGAACCTCAGAGAGGTTTAATGGAAGCTTTAATGGAAGGAGAGGACACCAAACTCACAGGAAACAACAAGATAGACGGTTAGGGTGAGGAGGGTGTTCGCTGGGCGGGGAGGACGAGGATAAAACCAGGAGATGAGGAACCAGGGGCTCCTCATCCCACAGCACATCCCCCTCCCCACTGACCGGGCACTCGGCACTCAGCCCTGCTCTTTGTCTTGTCCTTACACAGTTCTTCCCTGCAAGGTCCACACCCTGGAGCCAGTAATGGGCTTTGGATGCAGGCTTTTCAGTGAGGGAGTGGGAAGCAGTGAGGAGAATGACCTGAGACGGAGCCCCCTGGGAGAGCGGCAGATTTCACACTCTGTGCTGTGACTTGTCATTAGCAGCCCCAGAAGTGCACACAAAGGAGAAGAAAGGAAAATCGTCTGCTGACCCTGCCATGTTCTGAATTCAGTAGACACTTGTCTGGGCCCGTAGAGTCTCCCTTCTCCCCTTCTTTCCACCCTTCCTGCCTTTCTTCTTTATTTCCTGACCAGCTACCACGAGCAGGGCCTTTTACCTGACTGACTAAGGGAAATTGGCCAGAGTCCCACTCGTAGGAGGCAGGGAAATTAGGAAGGAAAAGGACTGAGGATGGAGAGATCATGTCCAATTCGAGAACCCAGGAAGGCTTCCTGGAGGAGCTAGCATTTTGTTCTGAGTCTTGAATACATAGTATTTGGACATGTAGAGACAGGGGAGAAGGAGGGCACACCCACACAGAGGAAGAGGGAGGGCAAGGAACAGGGCTGGGGAGGCCCAGAACACACAAAAGTATTGGTGGTCAGAATGAGTGACAACCCCCCTGAGGTTGGCTTCAGGATTCAAACCAGGGGTCTGAGGTAAAGGGAAGTGAGGTTTGCATCGTCCTGGGATGCTCAGAGAAACATTCTGGCCACTTGTTTACCTCTTTTTCTCTTTTCCTTCTGAAAAACAAGGAAATTCAGTAGACACTTGTCTGGGCCTTTTTCTTCTGAAAAAGAAGGAAAAGAGCACATGTTCTCTGTTGGAGGCTCATTTATAATTCAGGCAACCTCCTTCAGAGGGAGCAGGTGTTTCTCTGGGATGAAACACCTTGGGAAACAGAATGTACAAGTGGAAAAAAAAGCATGTCACAGCACAGCCAGGCAGAGAAAAGCTTGGGTCGAGGCAAGGGCAGAAGGAAGAGGAGGCGTGAGAAGACAAGGCAGCAAAAGACAGCAGCAATCCCTTCCCACCCAACATGCTCACGCTCTCCCTCTCTCTTTTCCTCTCTCTGCAAATCTGGATTGACATTACCCCCTTCAACCCCAGTGTCCATAATTCCATCATTAGAATGCCTTTCTTTGAGTCTTAATAGCTCCTCCTTCAAGACTACCCCCACCCCAACCTTTTTTTTTTTTCTTTTGAGACTGAGTCTTGCTCTGTCGCCCAGGCTGGAGTGCAGTGGCACAGCCTCGGCTCACTGCAACCTCCGCCTCCCAGGTTCAAGCAATTCTCCTGCCTCAGCCTCCCGAGTAGCTGGAATCACAGGTACCCACCACCACACCTGGCTAGTTTTTGTATTTTTAGTAGAGACAAAGTTTCCATGTTGGCCAGGCTGGTCTCAAACTCCTGACCTCAGGTGATCCACCCGCCTCAGCCTCCCAAAGTGCTGGGATTACAAGCATGAGCCACTGCACCTGGCAAGACTGACCTTCTAACAAGCTCATATCCTTATGAAGGACAGGAGATATATATATATATATATATATATATATCAGAAGGGCATGTCTTCAAGCTGGCCACAACTTGATATTGACCACAACTGCACATTTCATGAAGCCATCTTCTGAGCAGCCATAAAACAACCATATCAAACACTCCTTGGTCTGGAGAGGAAAAGATACTTTTTCTGCTGGCCCCTATCTCCTACTGGAGATATTTGGTGCATGGGGCACAAAGACTCCACTCTTCTGGATTACACATCCATGAACACCAGCCAAGCCACAGGGCCTTTATGTGTCAGGGTAGATTCGTCCATTCTCACACTGCTATAATGAACTACCTGAGACTGGTAATTTATAAAGAAAAAAAGTTTGACTCACAGTTCCCCACGGCTGGGGAGGCCTCAGCAACCTTACAATCATGGCAGAAGGCGAAGGAGAAGCAAGGCACGTCTTACCACAGTGGAGCAGGAAAGCGAGAGAGCGAGTGGGGAGGTGCCACACTTTTTTTTTTTTGAGACGGAGTTTCACTCTTGTTGCCCAGGCTGGAGTGCAATGGTGCCATCTCAGCTCACCGCAACCTCTGCCTCCAGAGTTCAAGCGATTCTCCTGCCTCAGCCTCCCAAGTAGCTGGGATTACAGGCATGCGCCACCAAGCCCAGCTAAGTTTTCAGCTAATTTTTTGTATTTTAAGTAGAGACAGGGTTTCTCTATGTGGGTCAGGCTGGTCTCCAACTCCCGACCTCAGGTGATCCACCCAACTCGGCCTCCCAAAGTGCTGGGATTACAGGTGGGAGCCACCACCTCTGGCCAGTGCCATACTTTTAAACCATCAGGTCTCATGAGCACTCACTCACTATCATGAGAACAGCAAGGGGGAAATCCGCCTCCATGATCCAAGCACCTCCCTCCAGATCCCTCCCCTGACATGGTTACAATTCGACATGAGATTTGGGTGGGGACACAGAGCCACACCATATCACAGGGTCAACAGGGAAGCCTCATGACCAGTGGTGAATGGTGTGGCCTTGAGGTGAGACACTGTTGGGCTGGGCTCAGGTGAAGTTTGTTGGTTTTGTTGGCTTGTTGGCACCTACATGGAGTTGTCAAGGGAGAGAAGGAGGGACTGAAACGAGCGGCCTTTGGAGAGGCCAAAGAGTACCTGCAGGTTCCTGAGAGGGGTCTGGTTCAAGGGTGCAAGGGCAGTCCTGCATCTTATTACAAGCAGCTGTCCCCTTAGTTACCAGTTAGCTCTTCACAGGTGCCTGCCTGCTGGCAAACCACCGAAAGCAGGAGCCAGATGGAACCCGGCCGTGGGTGGAGATGCTAGGAGGCAGTGGGGGCTTCAGGCGAGCTCACTTCCCCACCGTCTGGCCTGGGTTGAGATGTGGCTGTGCTGCGACCCACCGGAAAGCCCGCTGGGACCTGCTCATCCTTAACTGGGAGGCAGACCCCCAGAGGGCCTCAGGGAGCAAATAGAATCCCAAATAAAGGCAAGGCATTAAAGCACTCCTGAGGACCCAGCACTAATGGCCGACCCAAGGTGGGGAAGATCAATAGCTATTTAGAAAGGTCTTCAAGGAAGAAGTGAGTTTAGATTTCTTTAAAAAAGGAGGAATTACAAATACTTGCTCTCCATGAGGAATGAAAGGCTGAGGCAGAACTTCCCCCTAGATTAATAGTGTTTCTATAACCTTTGGATGGACACGTGCCAAGGAAGAGGGTCTGTAAGTAGAAATTAATGACTAGATTGAGAGATCCCAAATTCCAAAAGAGAAAATACACTGTTTTCTAAAACAGATTAGTACCTTCCTTCCCAAAGCACTCAGGAAATGAAAAAGGCTTTTAAAGCTTTAGAGGACAAATTTGAAATGCAACATACTTTTAGCTTGGCAGTGAAAGTAAAAACAACGCGGGATTCCATTTGAGTGGTACAGGTACCATGTTTATCCAGCACTTTTCTCCAGGAGTTCTGAGCTCTGCTGGATGTAAACACTTTCTGCTTTCCCCCAAGGGAAAATGTGGTCAGCACTATTGGCCCAGTTTGGCAGCCAAGGAAGCAAAAGGCAAATGATGGGGAACGATTTGTCCAGAAGAACACAGGGACAGTGTTAGACGTAACTTCTCTCCACTGTCTGTCTTCTTGGCGAAGTTGCAGTTTCAGAATAGAAATTACTGTAAAAACCCTGGATGGGCTGAGCATGGTGGCTCACGCCTGTAATCCCAGCACTTTGGGAGGCTGAGTGGGGCAGATCACCTGAGGTCAGGGGTTCAAGACCAGCCTGGCCAACATGGCAAAACCCCATCTCTACTACAAACACAAAAATCAGCCAGGCGTGGTGGTGGGCGCCTGTAATCCCAGCTACTTGAGAGGCTGAGGCAGGACAATTACTTGAACCCAGGAGGCAGAGGTTGCAGTGAGCAGAGATCATGCCACTGTACTCCAGCCTGGGCGACAGAGTGAGATTCTGTCAAAACAAAACAAAACAAAACAAAAAAACCCTGGGTTAAGCACCACTCACTGGAAAGGGGGAAGAAGAGTGGCACCGTAGCTCATTCCTTCAGGGCCTGGAAATATGTTTTTTTTTTCACTTGCTTTGCCCCCTCACCCTGCGGGACCAAAGCTGAGCACCCCTCTGTGGCTGACAGGCCAGCACTCTACTCATCCAGCAAGGGCTCCCCTGGGCCTCCGATCAGTACCTTTGTTCAGAATCAGGGTGTTGGCCTTTGCCCCAATGACCTGTGTGGCTTGTGTCATGACCTAGTGATACTTCAGTTCAATTCCCCTTTGTTGAAAGCCTTCCATGTGCTAAGTCCTGAGGCTACACTTGGCAGAGGCAGAAGAGAACCATCTGGTGCTGACTTCAGTGACTGTGGCCCTGTGGGTCCCATGGCTCTATGTTATTTGTGGCTTGGGCACAGGGCAGTCAGCATAGTGTGGAGGAGAGATGTCCTAGCTTTGGTTCGAACCCCAGCTCTGCCACTCACAGACTCTGGTGTTGAGGTTGAAGAAGCAAGTTGCTGAGCCTTGCTGAATTTGGGCCTCCTGACCTGTAAAATGAAGGTAAAGGTCTCAGCCTCATGGTGGCAGGGACGAGGGTTGAATTGTATCATACATGTGAATGCCTGGCACATAGAAGGCACACCATAGTTCTGATCATTGTCGTGATTGATTTAGTTCTGAGTCTCTGCATGATCCTTGTGCATTAGACTAAAAGCTATGCTTCCCTTGGTTCTGTTTGTCACTCTGGCCTAGGCTTGTAGCTGGCAGGGAGGGCCACAGGTGGAAAATTCCAGGCATTCTGGAGCATGCCTCAAAGCACACCCACTGTTCCCACAGGAAAATCAGGAAGCTTCCAGACTGCAGGGCCCAGGCCTCCCATGTGCAGGGTGGGGTGAGGTGGTGTTTGAGCACATTTGTTTTGCTTTGTGGATTTCTTTGGAAATCGGAAAGGGCAGAGGCTATTGCTAAGGAGACAATGTTTTCTATCTCTGTCCTCCCCATCTGATGTTGTCTATTAGATTTGGGGCTGGGGGAAAGGGATCAGGTCTCCAGAAACTCTAGGTTGGCTTCCTGATTTCATAACTAGCTAGGATAAATTCCTTTAGAAAAAAAAAAATTATCAGGGGGAGGAGAACCCACGGGGTTTGTGGAAAAGCTTCATGGTCCTCTCCGCCCTATCCCCATTGCTTCCCACTGCTTCAGCAGCTGCTGTTCAGATGCCAGCACAGCTGACCTTGACCTTGACAGATAAGCCCCACCGCCTTCCCATGGGGCCGCTTTGACGGGAGGGTGCTGCATTGCGCTGTTTGTGCCCATGCATGGGCCACACACAGCCCCACGGGTGGGCAAAACACATGTGACCGGGGCATGCAATTTGTGCAAGAGAAGGGTCTGAGTGAGTTGTCTTTGACTGGTCTAGTGGATGATATCCATGGGCATTTTGTTTCATCAGAGGTTACACAGATACTCTCTTCCTCATATAGGCTGAATTGTGTCCACCCAAATTCATAAGCTAAAGCCCTAATCCCCAGTACTTAAGAATGTGACTCTATTTGGAGCTAGGGGTGTGAAGGAGCTGATTAAGTTAAAACGAGGCTGTTAGGGTGGGCCCTAATCCAATCTGACTGCTGTCCTTATAATAAGAGGAAATTCGGACACACAAAGAAACAGCAGGGGTGCACACACACCAAGGACAGGCCATGTGACGACCCTCGAGAAGGTGGCCGTCTGCAAGCCAAGTAGAGAGGCCTCAGAAGAAACCAAACCCGCCAACATCCTGATCTCAGACTTCTAGCCTTCAGAACTGTGAGAAAATAAATTTCTGTTGTTTCAGCCATCCAATTTGTGGCACTTTGTTTTGGCAGCCTCAGCGAACTAATACACTTTCCATTTATGTACAAGTTTTGTTGTTGTTTTTTAAAAAAATTGGGAGTCCTTTTCTTGAGTTCGAGAGATATATTCGAAGGGGGCTTGTTTTATTGAGTAAGGTTTATTGCAAACCACCCCATGAAGCTCTTGGCCAATTTAGAAAAAGATACAAATAAAGCCCATGCCCGCTAATGTTGGTATCTTTGCACTGCAGGTCCTAAACTGTAGAGATAATCAGAGAAGATGGATCTATTTGTACTGACACGAAAGGTTGTGCATTTATGAGATTTGTCCTGCCAAGCAGTGCCAGGAAAAATGAGTGATTATGATAGCAAGTTATTCGTCTTAAAAATTGATTTATAAACATCATTAGAGAACTTGACATTTGTCTCACTGAAGAGATTTTTTTTTTATTTAATAAGAAATATGTTTCTGCCAGTTGTGATTCTAGTTAACCTAATACAATGTGTTCTGGGCTTTACTTTTTCCTTCAGTTGTTGATAATTCGATAAACCTTTATTGCAGCTGCACTTCTTTCTGAAGCTAGAAGATTCTAGAATTTCTGACAATAACTTTCTTTGGAAGAGCACTCTTAAAGAAGACTCATAACAGCCCTGTGAGGCGGTACATATATCATTACTAACAACTAGCACTTGTATAGTACTGTATCTTTCACAGAGCGCATTTATACACACCATTTCATTTCATTGCCCAAGAGGGTAAATGCAAAGAAATTAAATGAATCAGTCAGATACACAGCAATTTTTCATGCTGAGCTTGGATTACAATGCAAGCTAGAGCTTTTTCCACAACACCATCATTTTTCTTCACAAACAGAGGTTTTTAAAAATAGTTAAAATGGTGAATTTTATTTTTAGATAATTTTTAATTGATACATAATAGTTGTACATATTTATGAGGTACCTGTGATATTTTGATACATGCATGCAATGTGTAATGATCAAATCAGGGTAAGTGGGATAGCCATCACCTCAACCATTTATCATTTCCTTGTGTTAGGAACATTCCAATTCTTCTGGCTATTTTGGAATGTGTAATAAGTTATTGTTAGTCACCTACTATGCTACTGAACTATAGAGCCTATTCCTTCTACCTAGCTGCATGTTTGCACCCATTAACCAACATCTCTTCATCCAGGCTTAGAGTTTCTGTTGTTCCACAGTTACCCAGCGGGAGGGACAGAGTGGGAGACAAATGGGTCTTAATGAAGGGGTGCCATTTGTCAGCAATGGTTCAACTGCAACCCTGAAACTGAATCACACCCCATAGTAATCCTAGAAACTCTTCGTGTGTGATTGCAAAGTCCAAAAAACTATCATTTTGTAGGAGTCAACTATGCAAATAAATATCTCGACTTCTTATCTTTCTAAGTAATCTGTTGTAATTCAGTATCAGAGCTGTCAGAAAACTGATTAAGTTTGACTTCTCTTTGCCCCTAAATGAAGGGGTTAATTGCCAGGTTGAAGCCTAGGGACAGAAGGAAGAGGCAACAGAGGAATCACAGGCAGGTTTCAGTCGCTCTGGGAAGGCACAGTCATGAGCCATCGGTGGCTGCTGCTGCTGCTGTTTGCATTGGCAGGCTCAGTGTTCGTTTCCACCCAGGACTTTGTCTAAGGACACGCTGTCTCTGCTCCCCTGTTCTCACCTTCATCCAGAGCAACCCTGGGTTGCCAGACTTGTCCTTGCCCTGTGTCTTGTTGCTTCACTGCCTCTTCTCTAGCACACTTCAAGAGAAGGGAGCCAGCTGGAGAGGAAAGCTCAGCCTGGCTTTGAGTCATGGCCAGAATGGATTGAGTCCCAGAGGGACTTGTTTGTATGTTGGGTTAATGATCTCCACTGGTCTAAAGGTCCCATAACTTATTGCTACTCATCCTTCCAGGCCCTGTTCAGATGCCACCTCTTCCGTGAGGACTCCTCCTGATGCAACATAAAACTGATCTCTCCTTCATCTGTAGCCCCAGAGCAGTTTCTTGGGTCCTTCCTCAGAGCACTCCTCCCCACTAGCTTATATTTCGGTTATCTCTGTACCTATTTTATCATCCCAGTAGACTGAGAGGAGGGCTTATTCAGTGCAGCCAACCCCAATGCCCAACCAAAAATGCTCAGTGGTGAGAGTGTGAAACTAAATGGAACTCACATGCCCCAAAACGTCAGGTTCAGAGGTACTCCTTAGCCAAACAGGAGTGCGCTGCTTCCTTGAGTGCAAGGGAATGTCAATGTTTCATCCACAAGAGTTGGATGCATTTTTCCCGATGGGAGGTGCCTAATTCAAGCCAGCTGCCCCTAAACTAATGCCATCTTCCTCCTCCTACTCCCCAGCTGCATCTTTATTTTCTTAATCCTTTTTTCCCTCTTGGGTAGGTTTCAGTGGCTCTAATCACCCATCCTACCTCCTACACCCTCCGCCCCTTCTCAGCCTTGGTCCACAAACCCTGGAGTAAACTCCAAAAACAAAGTGGCCTTCACAGTGCTGACTCATTGACTTCCAAATTCCCGCCGGGGCCCTTGAGGGGCTTGCCGAGCCGTCAGGAGCAGCAAAAACTTGGGTAGACTGAGACCTGTTAATAGAGTCTGCTGCTCTGTGAATATCTTAGAAACGTGCTACTGAAAGGACACTCTTTAACAAATTTTTCAGTTAGGGGCCAGGCACGATGGCTCACACCTGTGATTCCAGGACTTTGGGAGGCCGAGGCGGGTGGATCACCTGAGGTCAGGAATTCCAGACCAGCCTGGGCAACATAGTGAAAACCCATGTCTACTAAAAATACAAAAGTTAGCCAGGCGTGGTGATGGGCACCTGTAATCCCAGTTACTTGGGAGGCTGAGGCAGGAGAATCGCTGGAACCCGGGAGGTGGAGGCTGCAGTGAGCCGAGATCACACCACTGCACTGCAGCCTGGGCGACACAGCAAGACTCCATGTCAAAAAACAAAAAAAAATCAGTTCATAATTTTTAAGGATGGTGGAAGAGAACTCACAATAATCCATTTCAGCTGCTAAATATCGTTTATCCATGTAGATATTTGCCATAACTGATTTCTCCGTAATCCTTGGGCTCTCTAAAGGTGTTAGATAAACAGTGATGCTGGAACATACTGTAAATCTGAACACCGCCGCTCCCAGGACCCCGTTCCCCACCCAGATCCAATCCCCCGAGTCCTTCTCTCTCTCACTCACACTCTAAGCTCTCAATAGCTTCTTTGTTTTGTGGAAGGTTTCCTTACAACTGCAGGTTGGCTGCTACATTCTTGACGCATAGGCAGACAGCAGGCTGTGCACAATTCTTCCTGGGCAATTCACCCGGAGCAAAGAGTGATCTTTTTTGAAGCTTGAGAATATCAATATGTGGCTGCTTTGCTAAAGTGCTTTCTGTCTCTCACAGTCAGAGAAATCTGCTTGCCTTGAGCTGGCCTTGAGTTTCTTGTTAAGAGCTAATTTTAGAGCTAATTTGGGTTCCATTAGTATATGGTTCTGTTGCAAATCTGACATTAACATCGGCAGCTTGATGAGTCACCGAGGGAGGAAAAGCCTTTTACCCTAACTGCAGCAATGCAGGCACATATGGTGTCATTTTGCAAGGAACAGATTTTTGTCTTTCATGCCATTTCAGAGCTGTTTCCCTCTGAAATTACCAGCTCTGATTTAATGCGGAACATGCCTGGGTGTCACTGCAGAGATCTAGTTAAACTGAGAGAGCTGGCAGGTCCCACAAGTCTGCAAAAACCGTGTTCATTTGCACAGTGTAATTCCTCCCAAATCCATGCCCACAGGCTGGGAATCAGCCACCAGCAAGTGCGGGGGCCTGCTCTTGGGGGTCTCCAAGCCTCTTCTGAGTCAGTGCTACCCAGAATCCCAGTCTTGGGTGGATGAGGAGGGACAGAGCCTTCCTTCCCTCTCTGCCTCTGCCCTTAAAATGAGCAGGATTTAATGATTCTGTTCCTGAGGCTGGGACTCTGCTTCCACAGACTCTTGTAAGGGGAGGTTAGGGCATTTCCCATTTCACCCCATGACCAGCTGCCCACGTGCTTGGGGCCAGATGGCTTTAACTGAGATCCGTGATTCCAACTGTGGCTGTGGCAGGGAGGACAGGAGACCTGCTTGCTAATCTGAACTGGTCACTGGCTGGATGACCCTGTTTCCTGAGCCTCCATTTTCTCACCTGTGAAAAGAGAGAATTCTGAGAGTCTCTAATATCTCAGCTTAATAGCCCATAATAGTAACTTGCATTTATCTAACTTTTTACATTTTTCTGAGAACTTTAATTTTTGTTCTGTCCTGTGATCATGATAACATCCTGTGAGGCAGGCACTCCTGTCTTTCACTTGGGAAATTCTGACTCAGAGAGGTGAGGAAACTTGCCCAAGCTCACACAGCTGGTAAGAGGCAGAGATAGACTAGAACCTCGCTGGCCTCACTCCCAGTTCAAGGCTCTTAGAATCAACAGATGGTATCAGAAACTAGCTTTGAACACTGCATTCCGTGACCAGGGGTCATCTTGGAGAGCAGACAGCCATGCCCCACAGGCCTCCAAATGTTCAAACTTTTCCAAGGTGAAAAGATTGCACAATGACCTGGGAAATTATATTCTTTCTTTGGGTCATGCAATATCATGATTGAGCACCCCAGAAGAGGCTGAAAGATAGTAGGAAAAGTACGAGAACTGGTTCCAGTTTTGGCTCTGTCTCAAGTTGCTGTGTGACCTTGAACAAGTCACTTGGCCTCTCTGAGCCTTAGTTCCTAAAAGAGGCAAGTGGACAAGCTATTCTCCAAAGTAAGTTCCCTCTGGAGAGGTCTATGGTTCTATGGCAACAGGTTCAATGCCAGAACGAAATAACACAGCAGCAAGTGTAACACCTTTGTTCCGAGAGCAGCCTCCATGCCCGAGATTCAAATTCTGAGAAAGGAAAATACTCCAGGAAGTTAAAAAGTGAAGTCGACCTAAACAGCAACCAAAGCAAGTTACTCCTGTAAGTGACCAGGCAAATCCTAAAACAAGGGTCACAAACTGAAATCCTGCAGGAGCCAGGCGGGGACTGAAGCAAACTGGCAAACACTGCCTGACTTCAAAAGGGACAGTGACCACTCACCTCCAGCCACATGTTGTTGGGCAGGAATGTAGATACAGTGTCAACAATCTTCCAACTTTTCAAGAGAATTGTGAATCTGAATATTCATGTGAAATATCCTAATTTTTAAACATTGGAAACAAACCCAAAGACTTAAAAACCCTTTCATGCCAAACAGAATGTGTCTGCTAGCCATATGCTGCCCAAGTGTGCTAACATCTTCCCGGGTAGTTTGTGTCTGTCTTCGCCTTAAACAATTTCAGGGAGCCTGTTTCCTGGCCTTCCTTGGGAGCACGCTGCAGTGGTGACCTTCCTGAACCCTTACAAGTCAACAATACTTGACATCACGCAAATCCCATTTTCCTGTCTGTGGCCTTTGAGGCTGGACCCCTGACAGGGGCCAGCATGCACACCCGGTTCCCGCTCTGCCTGCCTGAAAATAACCTTCTCCAGAGAGACAAACAACAGTGGGAGGGGAAAAGGACGATTTGGCCTTGCTAGTACGGTAAAACAGATGAGGTTATTTTTTCTGCCATCATGTCTACTTTATTGGATCACATAACCATTTTTATTGTTAATTTAGGTACAAATTAATTGCTATACAAATGAACAGAAACGCAGATGAGTCCCTCACCATGACTCGAACCTCAAACAGCAATTACGTGGCTTTGTAATCTAACAGAGCAGATATCAGTCAGCTGCGGTGTCTTCGCAGGCCCAATCCATGCTAATGGGAAGAGGGATGTCCCTGGAGATTCCTTAACAACCTGAGCAAACCTGGGGTAGGTGTTTCACAGATTCCAGGGCCCCGTGTCTGCCTCGCTTCCTCTTTCCAAGCACGATTGAATAAAGGTATTAGACAATTTGACAGTATTCTCATGGACTGTCTTTTTCTCCCCCGAAGGATTTTTTTTTTTTTTACCACACTCTTGTGATTCTGTACTTATTTTTTCTCTTCAGAGCCACATGTAAGACATCAGACCTAGAAGGCACTTTAGAGGGACCCCTGTCTTTCTGCCACCAGGCAGCATCCCCAGTCCCCCAGCCTGGGTGTGAGAGCCCTCCCAGGTGCTCCCAACTACTGGCTCCTTTAGGGTTCCTGGGCTGGAACTGTCTAGTTATTTGCCTGAGTCTTCCCCAAATGGACTATAAACATCTCAAAAGCAGGGACAACATCTTACCCACCTTATTGCCCTCTGCTCAGGGCATGGTGTAGTGGTGCAAGGGTAGTGGTGTAAGCAGCAATGCTCAGAAACTAAAGAAAAAAGCTGGCCGTGCCGGGCGTGGTGGCTCACACCTGTAATCCCAGCACTTTGGGAGGCCAAGGGGGGTGGATTACAAGGTCAGGAGTTTGAGACCAGCCTGGTCAATATGGTGAAACCCGGTCTCTACTAAAAATATAAAAAATTAGCCCGGTGTGGTGGCTCATACCTGTAATCCCAGCTGCTCAGGAGGCTGAGGCAAGAGAATGGCTTGAACCCAGGAGGTGGAGGTTGCAGTGAGCCAAGATCACACCACTGCACTCCAGCCTGGGCGACAGAGTGAGACTCCATCTCAAAAAAAAAAAAAAGAAAAGAAAAGAAAAGAAAAAGAAAAGAAAAGAAAAAATCTGGCCAAGCCCCTCACTTTATCTGTGCTGGTAGCACCCCGGTGAATCCTCCCACAGATACCACACAAGTAATTTCCTTCTTTGAGCTGCAGACTTTTATAATTTCCTGCCTAATTTTGTCATCTTCCGTGTAATAGTAAAAGCCAAAATATCCATCTAGAAATATTTCTTAGTTTCCATTTGCCAAATCAATTCCATCTCTCTTAGAAATAAAATGTAGTTACTTTTTGATCAAATGAAAAGATATTATGTAACTAATGAAATTGTACTGTATAAAAAAGTTCTCTTTAAGAAAGAAAGAAAGTTCCTTAATGAACAGCAGTCAATTCTAGACTCTAGATTAAATCAAACAAATATTTTTTCCCTGCCCTTGGATCAGTTGTACTGGAAACTGTTTTGAAGCTTCTATGATAAGATTTTAGATTCTCATCACAAAAAACTGAAGGTATTGTATTACTAGTTTTCTCTAAACTTTATAGCCATTCGAGAGCCTGTTGTAATTCAGAGAATTTTTGACTCACTTGCAGGAAATTTTCTTAGTCTACATATTTTACATTCCAATATAAAAGTCCTTAACTTTTTATCAGAAGTGGTTTAAAGCATCAAAGGTAAGCTAGTCATAATGACTTTCTTGTTTTTCTTGATTTCCTTATAGAGGTTAGCTACATGGGCGTATTCAATGGGCTTTTTCTGTTTTCAAGCCTATAATCTGCACAGAGCCTAGTACAGTGCCTTATATGCAATCAATGCTTGTTGAATCAACACATGAATGAACGAATAGATGTCTCTTGAAAAAAGAGAAAACATTGTTTTACAGAGTTCTCCCTCTGATGACGCTGATAGAACCCACAGATTTAGACTAATAGAATGTCAAAGGGAAAATTACCCAGAAATATATAATCTGGTTCTTTAGACTAATAGAATGTCAAAGGTAAAATTACCCAGAAATACATAATCTGGTTCAGTGTTTTTTTACTTTTCAGATTTAGAGACTGAGGTTCAGAGAACCCCCAGATCACCTGAAATCCTCATTGGGAATTTCAGGAAATTGTACCAAATATGAACCCAAAGGTAAACACGGGTTTCCATGGCAACCGAACGTGGGCTTGTTCATTGCTTTCTGTCGCCTTTACCTTCGTGAAATTCTCATGAACTAACTGGGATTCAGAAGGACGTAAAATGACTAGTTCCTGAAAGCTCTTAAATACTTCCTGGCTCTCTTCATCCACTAGTTGCTGTGGAGTAGAGTTTGGTATTTGGTGGCTCCGAGACCCCCCAAGGGCTCCATTACTAATTCGGGGGAGTGGAAAGAGCTCTGGGTCCCACGTCAGAGTTTGGGGCCCTGGCTCCAGCTGTGCTGGCCATAGACCCTGAGACAAATCAGCTGCCCAAGTCCCATCCTCATCCCTGAATAGAAGTGGTAGCCTCTGTTCTGCCTTCCTTAATGTTTTGGAAACGGTAAAGCACACCAATACAAGGAGTTAAGATTGTCCCTGGGGTAGAGCAAGCAGACACATGCCATGGGGGGTGGGGGCGGCAACCCCGGGGTGCTGGGCTTCCCTGCTCGAGAACTAGGAAATATGAAAGTTAACCTTCTGAGAGTCAAACCAGTGGTTCCCAACTTTTTCCAGTGTAAATCCTCCTTTTTTCTTTTTCTTTCTTTCTTTTTCTTTTTTCTTTTTTTGAGACAGGGTCTCATTCTGTCGCCCAGACTGGAGTGCAGTGGTGTGATCTCAGTTCACTGCAACGTCCGTCTCCTGGGCTCAAGCCATCCTTTCACCTCAGCCTCCCGAGTAGCTGGGATTGCAAGCGGCCGCCACCATGCCTGGATAATTTTTGTATTTTTTGTAGAAATGGGGTTTCACCATGTTGCCCAGGCTGGTCTTGATCTCTTGAGCTCAAGTGAGCCTCACACCTCGTTCTCCCAAAGTGCTGGGATTACAGGCGTGAGCCACTGCACCTGGCCTAAATCCTGCTTTTATCCTCAAAATATTTTCCAGACCCATTTCCACATGATCATATTTATACTTTTAGTGTTTGTGACCAAGAAATACATATTGACAACAAACTATTAGGAATTATGACTACTCTTTAAATTGCCACATCATATGAATATTTTTGACAAACAGTGGTACCAGATTAGCATGTACTATGTTTGCTTACAGATACTCTAGACACTCATGGATTAGGTGGCTTCTCAAAATCACTCCCTCTGCTCTCAGATCAGGGAATTCCTGTATTAAACTATAAAATATAAACATAATAAATGGATAAGAGCCAAGCAATGCAATCATTTTAGGTGGGCTCTGACTCCAGGTGGAAGTCAGGCAAACATTAACACATCCAAAGCAAGAAGACTGGTCACAAGAACCTTGGTTACCAGCAGAAACTTAGAAGAGGTAGTACCACCCAGGTGAGCACTGGCAGTGCCCTCCCAGTAGAGCCCAAGTCCTGGTAGACCTGGGTTCATCAGGCGGCATGTGACTCATGTAACTAACTCCTTACGCTCTACTCTCGGCTCCGCTGAGCATCCCTGTTGCCAGCATAGAGCAGCCAGACATCTGAAGGTTGTATTTCATTGCAGATGGATGTCCTGGCTTTAGATCCTAGAACCATCCTAAGAAGACGAGTAAGGTGACATTTTTTTGAGTTAAAAAAAATACCCAGGTGGTGGATGACAGGGTAGGTTTCTGAGTGTGGCCCTGAGGCCTCTGAGTAGCCCTGGAGCAACCGCCCTACTGGTCTCCACTGGGGTTCACCTTTTGGAGTTACCATGAACCATGGTTTCTCAACCTTAGCACTCTAGACATTTTGGTCATATAATTTTGTTGTGAAGGGCTGTTTTGTGCATTACAGGATATTGAGCAGAATCCCTTGGCCGCTATCGACTAGATGCCAGTAGCATCCCACTCCCCATCCCAATTATATCAATCAAAAAGGTCTCCATACGTTGCCACATGCTCCCGGGACGAAGGGGAATGACCCCGCCCCAGTTGAGAACCACCATCATGACCCATCCCCATCAAATATCTACAGGATGCGGCCTCATGAGGTTCCTCTCAAAGACCAAACCATTTCTGGATGCTCAATACATTAAATTTATACACAGTGTCACCTTTGTCCGAAAGATGTTAGAATTCTTGAAAAATCTATTTCAAGGAGCTTGTAGTTAATTTAGGAATACGACCAGGCTCCACTTCACTATAATGCAAAGGAAATAGGGATTCTGGCAACTGAGTGAAGAGAAACTTTATTCGATGACCTAGCGATTCAAGGGTCATCCTTCTGAACATCCATTGTTCTTTCATAAACGTGTAATGGGGTTGGACTGCACCGGCCATGTGTGGACTCCAGGGGAGTCCCTGGAAGCTGCTGGTATTTTGTTGTTTTAAAAAATAAACCCTTGATTTGTTTTTGATTTCTTATTAAGGTCTTCTTCCTAAAAATAGTACAAAAAAATTCCAGTCACCTGAGAAACTAAATTATTTTGTGCTCATGAATTGAGGGTTTTTATTTTTTGGCTGAAATTGTTCCAGCATTTTCTTTTTGAGGTAAAATAGACATCTAAAATTTACCATGTTTACTATTTTTAAGGGTACTGTTCAGTGGTAATACATTTACATTCTTTTTGTCCCCTTCATCCTCCCCCTCCCTCTACTCTTCCCTGCCGCTGGTAACCACCATTCTCTTTTCTACCTTCATGAGATCTGCTTTTGGAGCTCCCACAGTTCTACTGTTTTCTAAAGGATTCTGCCATTGGAAACTGCTTGGTTTCAGGAGAGCACTCCCACCACAGTCAGGCCTCTCAGGAGAGTAGCGTCCATCACGGCTCCAATTATATAGAGACATGAACACCTGGTTCTGCTCCGGGTGAGGTTTTTCCTCCTGACCGCACCCCTCCTGACCACACACCTCCTGACCACACCCGTCCTCACTGCATCCCTACTAACCGCATCCCCTCCCGACCGCATCCCTACTAACCGCATCCCTCCTGACCGCACCCCTACTAACTGAATCCCTCCTGACCACATCCCTACTAACTGCATCCCCTCCTGACTGCATCCCTCCCGACCGCACCCCTACTAACTGCATCCCTCCCGACCGCATCCCTACTAACTGCATCCCCTCCCGACCGCATCCCTACTAACTGCATCCCCTCCCGACCGCATCCCTACTAACTGCATCCCCTCCCGACCGCATCCCTACTAACTGCATCCCCTCCTGACCACATCCCTACTAACTGCATCCCCTCCCGACCACATCCCTACTAACCGCATCCCCTCCCGACCGCATCCCTACTAACCGCATCCCCTCCTGACCACATCCCTACTAACCGCATCCCCTCCCGACCGCATCCCTACTAACTGCATCCCTCCCGACCACATCCCTACTAACTGCATCCCCTCCCGACCACATCCCTACTAACTGCATCCCTCCCGACCACATCCCTACTAACTGCATCCCTCCCGACCACATCCCTACTAACTGCATCCCTCCCGACCACATCCCTACTAACTGCATCCCTCCCGACCACATCCCTACTAACTGCATCCCTCCTGACCGCATCCCTACTAACTGCATCCCTCCCGACCACATCCCTACTAACTGCATCCCCTCCTGACCACATCCCTCCTGACCACACCCGTCCTCACTGCATCCCTACTAACTGCATCCCCTCCCGACTGCATCCCCACTAACTACATCCCCTCCTGACCACATCCCTCCTGACCGCACCCCTCCTGACCCCAATCCCTACTCACAGCCTCCAAGGCTACCAGGTGCTGTTCACATGTGGCCAGCACTGTTGGTGGAAGGCGCCACACCCAGTAATCCAGGTGTCGTCCTCCCGTCCAGGTCCAGCGGCCTCTTCCTGCTTCTGCAAGCCTAGTTTTTTCTAGTCTTTGGGAGAGGAAAGTCTCGTTTTGCAAGCACACTGCCTGGCCTTTGTGTCTAGCCCTGGCTCTGTGGGTTCTGTGAGTGTTTGTTTCTGACCAGTCTGGACTGGGGTGCCCTTCGGTGCCAGCAAGAGAGCAGCGTGCAAGGGAAATACACAGATCAACCCTTGGAGCTGTAATCTTGTCTGAATCCTGTCTGTTGTCTTGCCTACTATGTGAGATAGAAATGAAGATGGAAAAGGGTAACCCTCAGGGCAGCCCTGCACAGAAACCCCTTCCCAGAGGGCCACGGCTGAGGCACCACTCCCAGGACAGCTGGGCCTTGAGCTCCATTTGGTCTTTTCTTCCTGGGGAAAAAAGGCCCTGTGTGGCTGTTTGTCCATAATGTTAAAGAGAGCCTCTTGGGGGCCCTGGATGTAAAGGTAGAGGTTCTGAGTTTAGGACCCTGCAAATTGCCCCAATGGGAAGCCTGCTAGGAAGAAGAGTGGTTACCAGAGCCCAAATGCAGGCAGGCCAACCCCCTTCAAGGGACCCCCCGCAATGAGAAAAGGGGAACCCATCACAATGGCAGCCGTTCTCCACCTCACCAAGGCCTCTGAGGACAAGCGGGAGAGGAGGGGAGCCTGGTCTAACTGTGAGGAAAGAGCAAAGTACAAATGCTTGCCTTCAACGTGCCATGCTTTCTTTCTCCAGCAGGTGGTCTGGGCGCTGGCGCAGTCACCCGGCAGAGAGTGCTGCTCAGCCTTAGGGTGCCCGTGTGCAGGAGAGACAAAGCTTTTGTGCAGAATCTCAGCCTTAGGGTGCCTGTGTGCAGGAGAGACAAAGCTTTTGTGCAGAATGCCCCACCCTCGGCACTTGACAGGGTGAGTGGAGGGCATGTGGTATTTCAGCCTCCACCCAGCTGCTGAACAGACAGGCACACACTGAACAGCCTCACCCGCCACAGCCTTGCTCTCAAGCGTTCTGCTTTCCTGCATCAGCAGAAATAAGGGGACCAATTTATCATACCTGCTGGGTGCCAGGTACTTTATATATTATCTCCTCTTTTTTTTTTTTTTTTTTTTGAGATGGAGGTTTGCTCTTGTCACCCAGGCTGGAGTGCAATGGCATGATCTCAGCTCACTGCAACCTCCGCCTCCCAGGTTCAAGTGATTCTCCTGCCTCAACCCCCCAGGTAGCTGGGATTACGGGCATGCACCACCACGCCCAGATAATTTTGTATTTTTAGTAGAGACGGGGTTTCTCTATGTTGGTCAGGCTGGTCTCAAACTCCCGACCTCAGGGTTCGACCTCAGGTGATTTGCCTGCCTCGGCCTCCCAAGGTGCTGGGATTACAGGTGTGAGCCACCATGCCTGGCCTATATTATCTCCTTTAATCACCCCAACAACCATGTGAAGTGGGATTTTTATCTCCATTTTACAGATGACGTAACTACGGCTTTGGGATGTTACGCAACGAGTAAGGCCTTGTGAGTCTTCACAGAAAGGGACTGGCCTGGAGGCTCCGAGCGGTCAGCTAGTTCCCGTCACTGTTCTCCCCGGGAAGCTGTGGATGGGCAGTGACCCAGGCAGGGAAAGGGTAAGAATCGCTGCTTGAGGACCCAAGAGGCTTCACCTCCCTCCTCAGACAGGAACCCGGGAAAGGGCTTTGCCCGGGAAGGTCTATGATAGGGATTCTCACAGTGAGACAGGACCAGCATCTCCTGAGACAAACTACTGCTCTTGAATTTGAAAAGAATTCTCAAGTCTGCGTCTCATCTCTAATTCTTTCTACCACTGTGTCTTTTTCCCAGTTGGCATTGGCAGCCACGAAACAGCTTGAGGGGCCAGGCGCGGCGGCTCACGCCTGTAATCCCAGCACTTTGGGAGGCCAAGGTGGGCGGCTCACCTGAGGTTGGGAGTTTGAGACCAGCCTGACCAACATGCAGAAACTCCGTCTCTACTAAAAAAAAAAAAAAAAAAATACAAATTAGCCAGGTGTGGTGGTGCATGCCTGTAATCCCAGCTACTCGGGAGGCTGAGGCAGGAGAATCACTTGAACCCAGGGGGCGAAGGTTGCAGTGAGCCAAGATTGCACCACTGCACTCCAGCCTGGACAACAAGACCGAAACTCCATCTCAAACAAAACGAAACGAAACGAAACAAAACAAAACAAAACAAAAACAGCTTGAGGACCAGATAGGGCATCAAAAGCGGAGAAAGCTGGGGAACTCTGTGTCCTCTGAATCCAGTTCAGATGGAAAGGAAGCCCCAGAGGGAGGACAGGTGGGGGCAGCTGGAAAGACAAGACCAGGCTCCCCTTCTTGGGTGTGGAGGGAGACAGTGGTCGGGACCCCCAGAGAGGGCAGAGCACCGGGCTGGCCGGTGGGGTGGGGTTCCCCGCAGGAGGCCTGTGCCGCCGGCTGTGTGGCCTGCGGAGGAGCCTGCCGAGCCTGCCGAGCCCCGCATCCGGTGGGAAGTAGGAGTCTGGCACTTCCGGCTCGGGCTGCTGCAGCGGTTCCGGGCATCTGCGCTATTAGAATTCTCCCGGCTCGCGGCGGCCGCAGGAATCCAGTCACGTGGTAGACGTGGTGCCTGGGAGCCGGGGTCAGCGAGCGCTCAGTCTGAGAGAAAACGTGTTCCTTCCCCCTGAGACGTGTCCCGTGCCGGGCGATGGCTCGCGGCAAACCTCCGCTCCCACAGGGAAGGAGCCCTGTGAGGCCTGGCCTGGGAGCTCTCGGGAGCGTGGGTGGTGAGCAGGGACACGGGGACACGGGAAAATCACTTCTGCTGCTGATCAGGATGTTGCCAGCCTACCATTTCTGTCGGAGGCTCCTTACTGATACTTCCGCTTCCCTTAGTTCCTTTTCCTCTCTGCCACGATGCTACATTCTCTGCAAGCAGGCTCCGACCTGGTTCCCGGATAACCTCAGAACTACAGCCTCATGACATCACTTCTCTATTGCCCTGTCCCCTTTGCTAAGAATTGGCGATACATTCAGAGGGCAAAAGCTTGCCTTTGAATTTGCTGAGTAAAAACCAAGGCTTTGTTACCTCTGGGTCTAGGGGATTGAAGAAGGACCCGATTTCCCTCTCCTCCCTCCCTCCCCCTTCCTGCAAGCCTCTCGATGAGAATGTATTTCCTAGTCACCTACGCTCACACCTATTTTGTAAATCTTCTAGATACTCTCCCTCCAGCCCACTCAGCCCCACTCTGCCAGAGGAGATACTGGACCCCAGGTCTTCCCCAATTTCAGCCTCCCCCAACCCGGCTTTTTATTCCTGAGGACCTCCCTCCACACCCAAGAAGCTATTTCCTGAAGGGGTCTCATTCCCTCCTGTTATTTTTCAGTTTGTTCTGTGCTGCTGCTTTTGGTCCTTCCTAACAGAAACCCTCATTCCTGTGGAAGACGTCCTGTCAGGAATAACCCCTTTGCTACGTGGTGGACACTAGCGTCCTGTCAGAAATTCACGCTCTCCTATCAGCAACCTGTTTTCTTGTCAGAAATCATTGTTGTCAGAAATCAGAAATCACTCTTTCTTTCTTTTTCTTTCTTTCTCTCTCTCTCTTTCTTTCTTCTTTTTGAGGTGGCGTCTCACTCTGTCTCCCAGACTGGAGTGCAGTGGCGCGATCTTGGCTCACTGCAAGCTCCGCCTCCCAGATTCAAGCGATTCTCCTGCCTCAGCCTCCGAGTAGCTGGGACTACAGGCACGCACCATCACACCCG
The DNA here is from genome assembly GCF_000001405.40 of Homo sapiens. Classification (NCBI taxonomy): domain Eukaryota; kingdom Metazoa; phylum Chordata; class Mammalia; order Primates; family Hominidae; genus Homo; species Homo sapiens. The sequence continues at coordinate 197,455,499 of NC_000003.12, read as the reverse complement.
GCTAATTTTTGTATTTTTAGTAGACACGGGGTTTCACCATGTCCGCCAGGATGGTCTCGAACTACTGACCTCAAGTGATCCACCCGCCTCAGCCTCCCAAAGTGCTAGGATTACAGGCATGAGCCACTGTGCCTGGCTGAGAAATCACTACTTTGCTTTTAGAAATCACCGTCCTGAGAAAAATCAGTTTCTTTCAGAAATCCTTGTTTTCTTGTCAGAGCTCCATGCATAGCCCACTGGAGGCCAACATTTTCCATCAGACATCCCTGTTTTCCTGTCATAAACCACTACTCTCCTGTCAGAAATCCCTGGTCTCCTGTCAGAAGTCCCTGGTCTCCTGTCAGAAGTCCCTGGTCTCCTGTCAGAAATCCCTGGTCTCCTGTCAGAAGTCCCTGGTCTCCTGTCAGAAATCCCTGGTCTCCTGTCAGAAGTTCCTGGTCTCCTGTCAGAAATCCCTGGTCTCCTGTCAGAAGTCCCTGGTCTCCTGTCAGAAGTCCCTGGTCTCCTGTCAGAAGTTCCTGGTCTCCTGTCAGAAATCCCTGGTCTCCTGTCAGAAATTCCTGGTAGGAGCTTCCAGTCAGAAGTCATTACTTTCCCGTAGGGAATCACTGGTCCTTGCCTGATCCTTCTTTCCCCAGAATATTCAGAGTTGCTCGTCATCCTTTGACTTTGGTAGTTTTCTTGTGACTTTCTTGCTGGGAGAGGAGAAGGGCACTGCCGGCTGTTCACACCTGTTTTGCCACATCTGTGGAAGCTCAGTGCTGGCTCCAGAAGCAGCCTGGGGCACTGGACACAGCACAGGGGGTGTCCACAGCCTCATATGCCCCTCCTGGGTGATGATAGACAAGTCATTTCTGCCTGCTGGACCTTTTCCCCATCTTTTTGTTGGGGGTGATAATATCGCCTACTCTGCCTGCTTCATAGCGTCATTTAATTTAGATCAATGACACTTCTGACTTCCAAAAAGTTGCTACTTTGTTTGAGACAGAAATCTCTTTTCCTGTCATTTTTACTCACTGTTGCTCCATAGGGCAAATCTAATACTTCTTCCATACCACAACCCTTCAACCCTGCCCCTAAATCTCCTCTTACCTGCAAAAAATGCCTCCTGTTCTCTAATGCCCAGATTCAACCAGCTCATTCCTTGTGTTGTGTGACTGGCTTCCAGGTCTGTTGCCAGCCTGCTCCCCCGACTCCACCCCTGGTCCCACCTTGTTTGAGTTTGTCTAGGTCTTTCTTGGAGTGTGCTGTGATCAGCTCAGGGGACAGCAAGAGTGTCACCTCCCTCCTTCTACAGCAGATGGCATGGTCAGGTTGCATGAGCTTTTACACTGCAGATTGAATGTGCCATTTACCATGTAGAATCTTCCCAGGCAGAAGCTCCATTTATTCGTTTTTATTTTTCTATTAGAGGTTTGTAATTTTCTTTGAATGCATTCTTCATGTCCTTTTACGTGAATTGCAAAATACTTAATGATTTGGATTCTTCAGGGAATGAGCTCTCTCTATTGCATTTCCTTCTAGTCTTCATCACTGGACTCTAGAAACGGTGTATTGATTTAATTTTTTTCTTATAATCTGAAACGTTGCTGAACTGATTTGCCATTTCTAAGTAGTTTTCCTGGAACACTCTGTACTGTCTTGGGGTGCTTACCCATTCTGTCTTGTGATGGAGACAGCTTTATGGCAGGCTGTGTCACGTGCTCTGCCATTTTCTCCTTGGAACCACTCCAAATGGGTGCCAACGCCTCTAGGCAGGAGCTGTGCTGGACATCAGAGTTCAAGGAAATGGGGATGGCATTGTTTTATTATTATTATTTTGAGACAGAGTCTCGCTCTGTCGCCCAGGCTGGAGTGCAATGGTGTGATCTCAGCTCACTACAACCTCCGCCTCCCAGGTTCAAGCGATTCTCCTGCCTCAGCCTCCTGAGTAGCTGGGACTACAGGCACCCACCACCATGCCTGACTAATTTTTTGTATTTTTAGTAGAGACGGGGTTTCACCATGTTGGCCAGGCTGGTCTCGAACTCCTGACCTCAGGTGATCCACCCGCCTCGGCCTCCCACAGCGCTGGGATTACAGGCGGAGCCAACAAGCCCGGCCTGGAAATGGGGATGGCATTATGAACAGGGTAATCTTTTGTTAATTCTGATTTCCATTTTTTGAAGTAAATCATTCTAATAACTTTGGTAATTCAGCTATTAATAGCAACACATTGCTTACCACATACTTCACAAGTGAACAGTGATCACACCGAAGTTGAAAACACTTGGCCTGTTGATTAAACAGGGTTTTCACTGGATTACACACTTTAAAACGGTGAATTTTAAGGTATGTGAATGAGTCCTTCCCCTGCTCAATGACAACAACAGGAAAAATTTTAAAAATAGGCTTTGGAGACAACTAGTTTATGTCCCAGCTTTGCCCTTAACAGGCCGTCTGGCCTTTAGGCAATTATGGTCCAGTCCTTGATTTCTCTGAATTTCCACTTCATCCTATGTAGAATGGGATTATGAATTGCCCTTCTTTCATTCCACTGATAAAAGAAACTCTCCACCCCCACCCTAGAGAGCGGCTGATCAAAATATCCCAATTCTCCTAGACACAATAATTGATGAAGACACGCTCACAAGACCCAAAGATGCTCAGTCAAGATTCGTGAGGAGGGGAAATGTGGATGCTGGGTCAAAATAGGGCTCTCTCCTTCTAAAATCATAAGACATAGCCTGGGGAGCGGTGGCTCACGCCTGTAATCCCAGCACTTTGGGAGGCTGAGGCGGGCGGATCATGAGGTCAGGAGATCAAGACCATCCTGGCCAACATGGTGAAACCCTGTCCTACTAAAATACAAAAAATTGCCAGGCGCAGTGGCTCACGCCTGTAATCCCAACACTTTGGGAGGCCGAGGCAGGCGTAACCTGAGGTCGGGAGTTTGAGACCAGCCTGACCAACATGGAGAAACCCCATCTTTACTAAAAATACGAAACTAGCCGGGTGTGGTGGCGCGTGCCTGTAATCCCAGCTACTCGGGAGGCTGAGGCAGGAGAATCGCTTGAACCTGGGAGGCGGAGGTTGCAGTGAGCCAAGATCACACCATTGTACTCCAGCCTGGGCAAGAAGAGTGAAACTCTGTCTCAAAAACAACAACAACAAACACAAAAAATTAGCTGGGCGTGGTGGTGTGTGCCTGTAGTCCCAGCTACTTGGGAGGCTGAGGCAGGGGAATCTCTTGAACCCAGGAGGTGGATGTTGCAGTGAGTGGAGATCGCACCACTCCACTCCAGCCTGGCGACAGAGAGAGACTCCATCAGAAAAAAAAAAAAAAAAAAAAAAAAAAGGCCGGGCGCAGTGGCTCACACCTGTAATCCCAGCACTTTGGGAGGCTGAGGTGGGCGAATCGCCTGAGGTCAGGAGTTCAAGCCCAGCCTGGCCAACATAGTGAAACCTGTCTTTACTAAAAATACAAAAATTAGCCGGGCATGGTGGTGGGCACCTGTAATCCCAATTACTCAGGAAGCTGAAGCAGGAGAATTGCTTGAACCTGGGAGGCGGAGGTTGCAGTGAGCCGAGATTGCACCACTGCACTGCAGCCTGGGTGACAGAGCGAGACTCTGTCATAAGATGTAAAGTTCATGAAATCCAGAGCTACTGGGGGTCATCTTTCCCAATATACGAGAGAACATACTGGAGAGTGACGCTAACATAGTGGAAATGAAGGGAGACAGAGAGGTTTCTGACGTTACCTGAGCCCGTGGAGCCAGCCTGGGCGGAAACCGGACAACTCCTGATGTTTTCATTCATGTGCACCAGTAATTCCTTTTTTTCTTAAGCTTGTTTGAGTTGGGTTTCTGTCATGAGCAACCCAAAGAGGCTTAATACAGAAATATATTGTATCAGGCTGTTGTGAGAATTACTCGTGGTAATACCTATAAGGCGTATAAGCAGGGACTAAATAAGCAGGGACAAAAAATGGAAACTTACTATTATTATTGATAGCATTATGCAATGGATAGGAACAACTTTGTATATGCTTAATCTTATTACCCTGTAGTAACAAAGATAGTACTAACTGAGTACCATATAAAGTAGAATCTCAATAAACATATCCTTATAGACAAACTGATATCTCTTTACCTTAGTATAGAATTTAAACATGAATTAATCTGAATTTCTCCTGCCTTTTACTCTTAGGAGATAGAGATGAATCTACAAAATGGAAAAAGTGTTGAACTTGGGAGTCAAGAGACCAGGATTCTAGTTCTGATGATGCCCTTCACATACCGAATGCCCTGGGGAAGCCGCTTCCCTTCTCTCAGCCTTGGGTTCTCCATGTGTCAAATTAGGCTGTGGAAAAAGGTATCAAGAGATACTTTTAATGGTCCATGATTTCTGGGGATTAAAATAAATTCAATCTCATACCCCTTTTGCATCCTGCCCACAGCCTCCCACAGTGACACATGATCAGGGAGAGTCAGGGTGCTTGCAAATGGCCATTTGCGTGACGTTTTATGCTCATGGGAAGATGCAAGGAAGTCAGTACTCTTCACTTGCTAATGTAAAAATGTTACTGAATACATCTTAGAATGACTTTTAAAGACAAGGCCTGAAATATAATTTCGTATCAGAAAAAAATGAATTGAAATGAATATTTTTCATTCATCAGGCATTCATTTAGGGCTTTCTAGGTACATCCTGTGCCCAGTACTAGAACAAAGGGACTAAGGCTCTGTTCCTGAGGTCAAGGAGAGCCTTGTCTTGCAAGGAATGTTCCCTGAATATCTTGTTCATCAAAATTTCACTGGAGTTCAGATTGAAATGGAGATTTTGATAACCTTATTGGGCCAGGCACTGGGTAGACAAGTTTGTTGACATCATCTTAACACTTGATTGTAACTTTTCTGTTCTCCCACCTCCCAGAAACACTCATCTGGCTGAACGGAGACATGAGCCTCTGTAAACTGATTCTTCCTCCACAAAGGGGCCCTGGCCCTCACAGCCCCATCCTCTTTCATCCTTGCTGCCTGATCCTAGGGAAGCTTTGCTCTGGTGGTGCCTGGAGCTGTGATGTATGCAGTCATTTGAAACCCCAGCTTTGTGGAAGACACGAGACATTGATTTTTACTCTACCATTTGGAGAAAAATCATTTTTATATTAGCAGAAATGTTGATAGACAAGGAGCAAAGTTTAAGGTTGGAATGACTTTAAGATTCATTCATTTTTTAAAAATTTATACTTATTGAGTGCTTACTATGTGCCAGCCCTGTCCTAGGCCCTTGGGGACTGGTTGGTAAATAAAGCAGATAGAGTAGTCGATAATGCCTGATATAGTTTGGATGACTGTCCCCTCCAAATCTCATGTTGAAATGTAATCCCAATATTGGAGGCGGGGCTTGGTGGGAGGTGTTTGGGTCTCGTGGGTGGACCCTCATGAATGGCTGGGTGCTGTCCTAGAGGCGGTGAGTGCGTTCTCATGAGATCTGGTTGTCTAAAAACATGTGGCACCTGCCCCCTCTCTCTCTCGCTTCCACTCTCACCATGTGACACCCAGCTCCTGCTTCACCTTCCACTGTGATTAAAAGCTTTCTGAGGCCCTCACCAGATGCTGATGCCAGCACTATGCTCCCTGTACAGTCTGTAGGACCATGAGCCAATTAAACTTTTTTTTCTTTTCTTTTCTCTTCTCTTCTCTTCTTCTCTTTTCTTTTTGAGATGGAGCCTTGCTCTGTCACCCAGGCTGGAGTGCAGTAGCGCCATCTCAGCTCACTCCAACTTCTGCCTCCTGGGTTCAAGCGATTCTCCTGCCTCAGCCTCCCAAGTAGCTGGGACTACATGTGTGTGCTACCACGACCAGCTAATTTTTTATGGGTTTCACCATGTTAGCCAGGATGGTCTCAATCTCCTGACCTCGTGATCCACCCTCCTCGGCCTCCCAACGTGCTGGGATTATAGGCGTGAGCCACTGCACCCAGCCAATTTCTAGTGTTTTCTTTTGATTCTTTCTTAGAGTTTCCATCTCTGAGCTTACATTAACTCTATGTCCTTGCAGTAGAATCCTGCATGTATTAATCATAGTCATTTTAAATTCCCTGTCTGATCATTCCAGCATTTGCATCATATCCAGATCTGGTTCTGGTGCTTGCTCATTTCTTCAGACTTTGCTTTTTCTTGCCTTTTAGCATAGCTTATAACATTTTTTGAAAGCCAAAAATGATGTAATTGAGTAATAGAAACTGATGTAAATAGCCCATCAGTGTGAGATTTATGTTAATCTGGCTAGAAGTTGGGCCATGTATAATGTTTTCTGTATGCTGGGGCTTAGAAACCAATACCCCAAAATACGGCATTTTGACATGCTGAGCTGAAGAAGCTTCCAGGTCTCTCTGACCTCCCTCATCACTTTCTCTGCCATATAACTTGAAGTTCCTTTATCTGCCTATCTACTGTGGAAAATGAGTCCAACAACCTAAGCACACCTGAACAGACACGTTACAGGTACAGTGACTGTCTCAGAGTCCTGAATCGATTCACTCTTCCTAGTAATCCTCTCAAGAGAATTCCTCTTCTGCCCGCTACCATAGCCTGTTTGATCAGGATGCAAGCCCCCATTCTATCGGTAACCTCGAGATGGTATACAAGCTTTTGTACATCACTGGGAGGTTGGGTCTTCATTCTGAAGGCTCCCATGTATACACATTAAATAAATCTGTATGCCTTTTCTCCCATTAATCAATCTGCCTCATGTCAATGATGGTTTTCAGCAAGCCTTTAGGGGGCCAAGGGCCTTGCTTCAAATTCCTATTGTCCTTATTTTTGTCTCCTCTTTAGAAAGAATTTGTGTCTTCAAATCTCTCAGCTGTAATACACTGTACTAAATTACACTGGAGCCCTTTTGGAATGGTGGTGGAGGAAACCAGAATAATTTCACACCAAAATACATTGCCGCAGTATGATGAGTATTTTGAATTAAGGCTCTTAGAGATCAGCAGATGCAGGAATGGGTTTTTTCTTAGCTACATAAAAACTGGACCCACCAAGGAGAACAATTGCTTCCCATCCCCTCCCTGAAATCTCAATGTCTATGACAGAGATGAAGGCTGAGGAATGTAACCACACCAGGATGGACCTTTTCATCAGATATCTGTCTCTCAGGGTCATTCACATTCCAAAGAGAATCATTTACAGATTAACTTTTGATCCACTCATTCTCCCTAATAATAATTTATTGATCCTCAAAAGAAATAACATGGCTTTTCAAATTAGATTCAGAAAAAAATAAGAAAGAATTACCTACATTTCCCATTTGCTCCCTCCCCTATGAAGAAAGTTATATAAACATCTGGATTCCATTGGGTTATTGGGTGATCATTCTCCTGCAAGTCCCCCATGCTACGCACAGTACAATGAATTTGTACTGTCTTTGTCTCTGATTCATCTGCCTTTTGTCAGTTGATTGTCAGCAAACCTTCAGAGAGCAAAGAGGAAGTTTTTCTTTGTTCCCTACAGTGACAAAGTGTAGAGAAGAGAAAGTCATCTATAATCACATGATTAAATCATCGTCTTTTTTTTTTTTTTGAGAAGAAGCCTCGCTCTGTCACCCAGGCTGGAGTGCAGTAGCACAATCTCAGCTCACTGCAACCTCCACCTCCCGGGTTCAAGCGATTCTCCGCCCTCAGCCTCTTGAGTAGCTGGGACTACAGGCATGTGCCACCATGCCTAGCTAATTTTTGTATTTTTAGTAGAGACGGGGTTTCTCCATGTTGGCTAGGCTGGTCTTGAACTCCTGACCTCAAGCAATCTGCCCACTTCAGCCTCCCAAAGTCCTGGGATTACAGGTGTGAGCCACCTCCCCCAGCCAACCTCTTTTCTTTATAAATTACCCAGCCTCAGGCATTTCTTTTACAGCAGTGTGAGAATGAACTAATACAATGCCCTCATGGAGCTCACATTCTAGTGGAAGGAAATAGAAAAAACATGTGGTATTTCAGATGCTGACAAGTGCTGTAAAGAAAAATAGAGCCAGGTAAGGAAGTGTCCAGCTTGCAGAGGACTCGTTCAGCCTTCACCGTCAGAGTCCCTGGATCTCCTTCTTGTCTCTGCCACAAGGGTTACCTGGGCCAAGCATTGGGGTGGGAGTTGGGGATGGGGGTGGGGATTAACCAGGAAATGAATTGGCTTAAGAAATGCATCTTGAGCACCCAGAGGGAGGAAATGCTGAGGGAGGGAGGAGGTGAGCTCGCCCACCCCATGGTACCTCCCAGCTCAGAACCCACACCCTCTGGGGCCCCAGTCAGTCCTTCAGCCTTCTTCAGCAGGCTTCTGTCTCTGTTTTTCTACCTGCTCACGTAGTACAATCCCTGCCTGAGTGTCTCGGAGGCCCAGGGGGCTGCTCTGGGGGGCTTCCTTCGGATGATCACTCGTTTTCACTTGCAATTTCACCTCATCAGCTATTCCCCCAGCTCCGCCCCAAACCCTTTGCCCTTATAGCCAAAGGCAGCCATGTTCTCTGTCACCAGCCCATCTCCTATGCCACAGAGCTTTCACGGCTAAAGAGCTTTACTTTGCCACTCTCCTAACCACGCCCATGGTGGTTTCTCGTGCCTCCCTCTAGCAAAGCCAAGGAGTCGTCGTAAGGCAGGTCAGAGAAGGGAGCTTGATGAGTGGCCGGGGATGGGGAGCTGGGAGGTTGGTGACGTATTGCACACAGAACGGGCTGTAAGCCAGTGGTTCTTACACCTGACTATGCATCAATCACCTGCAGGGCTTGGTAAAATGGAGAGACTGCTTGGCCCCACCCCCAGTTTCTGATTCAGTAGATCTGGAGGGGGGCTCCAGAATCTGCGTGTCTAACAGGACCCCAGGCCATGCTGGTGCTGCTGATCCTGGAGCCACACGGAGACCCACTGCTCCAGGCCAGCTGGCAGGGCCGGCCAGGCTCACCCTCTGAGCCCCCGGCCTCTTCCTGGGCTCTCCCCTTCTAATCTATGGACCTTGCTCTTGCTTCACTTCCTTCCCTCGTCAGTCATCCGATGATTTTCTCCCCCCGCCAGCCCCTGTCCCTCTAAAAAATGCTTCTGGAGTGTGATCTGAACATAAATTATACCAAGTTGCAAGTGGCTGGTCATCACTATCATCCCTTCCAGGAATATTTGAATTTTAACGGTCCAATAACCTGCAAAAACTTGGGTGGTGGACTTCAGGCATCTGCTAGTGAATGGTGGCTGTGTTCGGGGGCTCAGAGCCTCTGAAACTGTGTAGGTGGCCACTTATCCTACACTCTCCGTGTGCCTGTGGGGGAATGTCTCCTACCCAGCCTGGATAAGAATTTAAATTCCACGTCCCTCTTCTTCAGAAGCAGTGAGGCAGAGACGCTGCTACTGAAGAGGATATCAGCTAATGTCAGTAATTAAATCCCCCAAGGAGACAGGAGTCTCTGTGTCTTTTGTGTTCTGGGAGTGGCTCTTGCTTCAGAGGGAAGAAAGAAAATCTGTTGAGACAGACTCTGGTTCTCCTGCTGAGGGAGGCCCCGCTGTGGTTGCATCAGGGTCCAGGTCTCTCCCTGAAGAAGAAACTCAACCAAATTTTCAAAATTAAGGCCACAGCTCCCCACCTCAGGTTTAAAATGAAAGAATGGGAGGGCTTAGAAGTTGGACAGGGATACATAAGGAAGAGGCCGGAAAAGAAGGCAAGCCATGAGAGTTCAACCATGGCCAAATTGCCCATCTGTCCAGAACTTCTCCCCTGAGCACTTGCCCTCTAGTCCTGGGAGGCAGTATTTGGCCTCCCTGCCTCTTATCCTACTCCTGAGAAGAAACAGCTCCTGGAAAGAATAAAACACTGGAAGGAGAAGGAGCAGAAGAAGGAACAGGGCCTGCTGGGTAGGCAGAGGGTGTTGTCCATCCAAGTTGACTTAGGAGGACAGCAATCTGGCACAGGTCGGCCAGCACTGGCCTAGGAGCCAGAGGCCTCCGTTCTTGTCTTTGTGTGGCCTGGAACAAGTCACTGTCCTCTCCACTGCCCTCCAAGGCATCGGCTGAGACAACCTCTGGGTGTCCCTTCAGACTCTGAAATCTTACCACTTCTTCTACCATCATCATTTGCCATGAGAGGTGCATGAGAGATAAGAGTGGGTTCATCAGAACTCTTCCGATGACCTTCATTTTTTCCATCTCTTCCAGCCTCGGATGGAATTGCACTCAAGGACATGTCTGCGTCAAAGCTTTTCTCCAAGTTCGTCTTCAGTTGCTATTTCTGAAGCCACATCACACCCTGAGAAACTCCTCCCTTTTCCTCTACCCTGCTTCTCCCCCCGTCTGTCTCCTTCTTGTCACTTTTAGTTGGTTTTGCACGGGAACTCTGAGGCCATCCCAGCTGCCCTTGTCTGCCCGTGAGAATCCCCTTCCACAGCGCCTCAAGAGCAGGATGGAAGTTCCAAGAGTATGAATTCATTTCATGACATGTACCTTTTGCAACATACCCCGGTAAGTGTGCATGTGACAGTGTGCACGTGTGTGTATGGACATTTTGGGCCCGTTATAAAATGGCAGTTAAGAGCTCAGGTTTGGCTGGTTGTGGTGGCTCATGCCTATAATCTCAGCACTTCGGGAGGCCGAGGCGGGTGGATCACCTGAGGTCAGGAGATTGAGATCAGCCTGACCAACATGGTAAAACCCCATCTCTACTAAATACAGAAAAAAATTAGCTGGGTGTGGTGGCTCACGCCTGTGATCCCAGCTACTCAGGAGGCTGAGGCAGGGGAATCCCTTGAACCCAGAGGCAAAGGTTGCAGTGAGCTGAGATCGCGCCACTGCACTCCAGCCTGGGCGACAGGGCGAGACTCTGTCTCAAAAAAACAAAAGCAAAAACAACAAACAAACAAACAAAAAAGAGCTCAGGTTTTAGAGCCATACACACCTAGTTTACATTCTGCCCCAGCCACTTAGATAGTTGTGTGACATTGGGCAAACTGCCTAACCTTTCTAAGCCTCAGTTGGCTCACCTGCACATTGATAATACACACCACAAGAGCTTGCCGGGGGCCACTGCCTGCTTCTTGAAGATAACAGTTGTTTCTGAGATATCAGAAAGTTCCATCAGTGTCTTGGCCAGGCGTCCTCTCTTGTAGATAGTAGCACTTCCTCCTACTGTGGCTATCTCAGTGTAGGCCGCCTTCCCGTACCCCCCCCACAACACCTGGAATTCTGAGCCAAAGGCCCCCAGATAGGATGACATCTTAGCGGCCAGTGGGTAGAAGTGAGCCCTCTCCTCCGGACCCACTGACTCTTCAGGCCCCACAAGCTTACACATCAGGCACATGTAGATTTCTTTCCTGAAGGATCAGGGTGATTTCATAGAGTAGCAACAGAACCTAGAGCACGCATCTACTTAGAATTTTTCCTGAATCTCACAAGGACAGACTTAGATCTTTATAAGGAGGGCCTACTTGGAGTCCCCCTCCACTCCTACACATTTGGACCTCAAGTACAAAGGCATGCTGTCCTCTTTGGTCTGTGCAGGGCCTGCTTTTGTGTTCATTATTTATGTTTATTCTTCCATGCACCCCTCCCATTCTCCTTCCCCCCATAGGCAATTATGGATTTAGTATATATCCTTTTGTATATTTCTTGCAAACCATATGGTGGTATTTTCATGTGTTTTTGTTGTACCTAAATGGTGTTGTCTCACATAGTGCATTCTTTCCCTCCTCCTTCCACCCAGCACTCTGCCTTTATGATCCATCCACATTGCCGTGTGTTGTTCTAGCCAGCTTTCCCTCTTCACTTTCCCCGTGACACACTCTGGGTGACTTTCAGTTTCCCCGCCACGAGTAACAACACGGCAATGAGCACCCTCCAAAAGCACTTCTGCTCCCTCCTAACCGGACTCACCTGCTCTCAGGTTGGTCCGTGCAGTCTCTAACTTTTGAGTCTGAAAACTCACAAAGCGCTCTCTCTCTCTTAGATTTTTCTTGAGTCATGAAGCCCACAGTAACACCCAGGCGGCATAGGAATGAGCGTTAATGTTTGTTCCACCTTTTTTCTCCTGGGGCCCCAGGGAAGAGGCTTCTAGACCTCTGGTCTCAGACAATAAGAGCCTCTTCTGTGAGTTTTTGTATCAGGCTCAGGTTGCTTTCTTCGTTTGATTGAATAAAGAAAGCACGTGTTCCAAAGGCAAACACGTTTCCCCCCTCAGAAACAGTACAGTCTAAAGCCATAAGGAATCTTTCCTTCATCAACCACACATTCACCCTGCCCTTGGAATCCTGTTGAGGAGACTTGGGTCTCTTTTTGTCAGTGGGGAGTGAGGAGAAGGCTCAGGGAGTTCTGCTGATGCTTCAGAAGAGCTACTCTTGATTTTCATGGCTGCTCTGAGCTCATACATGAGGAAAGGCATAGGCCTCCATTAATTTTTTTCATCAGTAATTGTCTTCTAGTCAAGAAGAGCTTCATGGTTTGCCAGTTCCTCGCAAACAGGAGCTTTAATAGGACTGAACGCTATTCACTGAATGCTGTCTATTCCTAGTGGGCAAAGTTGTATGGATTTCCCGACATCTTCATTGTCCTGGTCCATCTTCTTCGCTCAGGCCACTTCCTCAACTTTCTCAGTCAAACCGTCTCTTTTTGGGAGGTCCAGAGGTGTTGCACAAGACTCAAGGAGCTCTACACCAGGAGCCAGTGGTCCTGGCCTGGACCCTGACCTGTCTCCATGGCTTGTGTGATGCTGAACTACTGGTTGAAACTCTCAAAGCCTCCATTTTCTTGTTAAAAGACAGGTGGAGTGAGGTAGGGAGTAGTGTTGGAGATTTAAGGCCTTCTGAGTTGTTTTGTTTTTTTTTTTTCAGACAGGATTTTTCTGTGTCACCCAGGCTGGAGTGCAGTGGGGCAATTACAGCTCATTGCAGCCTTGACCTCCCTGGTCAAGCAATTCTCCCACCTCAGACTCCCAAGTAGCTGATTCTACAGGCATGCGCCACCACAGCTAGCTAATTTTTTAATTTTTTTGTAGAGATGGGGGTCTCACTATGTTGCCCAGGCTGGTCTTGTACTCCTGGGCACAAGTCATCCTTCCATCTCGACCTCCCACAGTGCTGGGATTACAGGCATGAGCCACCGCACCTGGCCATCTTTTGGTTCTTCACATCTGTGTTTTTGCAAAGGCTTTGGTATTCCTTTGCCATCTGCCTTCTCCCTCCCCACTTTAACTATGCCCCTTTCTGATCCCAACCCTCCACCAGCCCCTCTTGCCTCTCTAGCTCCCAGCCTTCACCTCTCACCTCTCTCCCCTGTTCGTTCTCAGATACATTTTCTCCTAAGAAATGTTCATACCCTGCTAGCCTCCTTCATGGAAACAACTGTTCTCGGTATGCAGGGTCTCCCCTCCTCTCCTGACCTCTCCTGACCCTCCTCTCAGTCACACAATCCTCTGAGGTTTTTATCAAGTAAGTGGAAGCCGAGTGCTTTGAAGTAACTTGATTTGCCCTGAAACCACCTCAAATTCTTGGGGCTTCTCTTGATCAGGAGTAATTCTGGGCTACCCTGGAGCTCTCATGGTCACACAGGATCACAGGCTACCCCAGAGTCCTCTAGGTCTTCCCCAGATCTGCTTCTTAGGCTAGGAGAAGACAGGAACCAACAAATCTCTTCTATGGCAGATTGCTATGCCTCTCACCCTTTCCCCTGTCAAATCAAGCCCACAAGGATTTCTTTTTTTCTAAGAACTGTAGGCTACCACCTCTGCCTAGACTCACTCATGTATCCTTTCTTTTTTCTTTTTCTTTCTTTTCCTTCCTTCCTTCCTTCTTCCTTTCTTTCTTTCAGACAGGGTCTCACTTTGTCACCTAGGCTGGAGCACAGTGGTGTGATGTCAGCTCACTGCAACCTCCGCTTCCCGGGCTCAAGCTATCCTTCCACCTCAGCCCCCTAAGTAGCTGCAACCGCAGGAGTGTGCCACCATGCCAGGCTATTTTTTGTGTGTTTTTGGTAGAGATGGGGCTTCCTCATGTTGCCCAGGCTGGCATGCATCCTTTCATGCATTCACTCACTCATCAAACATAAGGGGAAATAGCTCAAGGATTCCAAGATGGGTATGTGCAAAGACCTGGCCTTCCAGATAATGATGACTGAAGATCTGGAGACAGGGCCCATCCCCTTCTAACACACACAGTGGTGGAAAAATGGGACTAGAGGCCGAGTTAGGGTTAGGGGAGGTTTTGCCTGAAGCCTTTTGCTGAAGCTGTGATCACTCCATTGCAAGGTTGTTTGCAAGTACACGCATTCCTTCCGACACAGCAGCATATACAGCAAAGCATGAAAATCAATAGGACGAGAAAGACCAAGGATTGTGCAGTGATAAATAGGTGTATTTATCAGCTTGCCCTTCTGTCTGAGCTCCCTGTCTTTCCAGGCCACCTTGCCCTCCTTTTCTCTCTAGAACCCATCTTGCTGCAATTCACAGGGGACAGTAAGAGGGTGGAAGACATCCCTGAGGGGACTTAGTGCATTACACATGGGGACCCCCACCATGACTTTGCCTAAGTCAAGCAGCGAGATGTCCTGTCTTCTTATGATGTCATACGCTGAAGTATTCTTTCAAACTTCTTGTTATCTTGGAACCACATCCATTTGCTCGATATCTTTTTGGTTTGTTTGTTTGTTTGTTTTTTGAGACAGAGTCTTTCTCTGTCACCCAGGCTGGAGTACAGTGGTGTGATCTCGGCTTGCTGCAACCTCCACCTCCCAGGTTCAAGTGATTCTCTTGCCTCAGCCTCCCAAGTAGCTGGGATTACAGCGGGCCACCATGCCTGGCTACTTCTTGTATTTTTAGTAGAGATGGAGTTTCACTATGTTGGCCAGGCTGGTCTCGAACTCCTGACCTCAAGTGATCTGCCCACCTTGGCCTCCCACGGTGCTGGAATTACAGGTGTGAGCCACCCAGACTAGATATCAATTTTTAGTTCTGAAGACACCCCAATTATTTGGTGTCACGAGTAGTCATAACACTAGACCATATTTTAAGGAACTCTTAGATAAAGAAAGACCAAATACTTGATAAAGATATGTAATGCAGTGGCAAATTTATGTACAACTGCTCAGAGGTGAAAAAGAGTATGTGGAGGTTGTTCTATGACTGGCCTAATCTTTCTTGAGAGTCCTCTCCCTGTTGTACAGTGCAAGTAAAGATCATGAGCACTTGACAATGAACAGTAACTCATTTGACTTCAGTTTTGAGAGGCTCACTGGGGCAAATGCTCAGAAGTGCTGATTTCTCTCCCGTCCCCCTGTTCTTCCCCAAGATGGCAGCAGGGTGGATGGGGAGTAGCCTTGGAGTTCTTGCTTGTCCTGTGCTGGCCTCTGGGTCTTTGTGGGTTCCTGTTGCTGGCCAGGTATTTGATTGGTTTATGATTTCCACAGTGGACCTTGTGGTTCAGTCAGTGCCTAGCGCACCCCCTTGCTGACTCAACACCTTCTGAGTCTCAGCTACATACCCCTCCAGCCTAAGACCACCCTATTCCTCAACGTGGATCCCGCATGTGAGGCCCATTGGCTTTTGCCTCAATGACCATCTCTATGTCCCAAGGGGTACATAGGAACCTCTGGGCTCTTCCATAGGGAACCTATGCTCCCTTGCGGGAGCATTGACACAGGCCTCTCCCCGCCTCACCACCGTATGTGAGCATTTTTCACTCTTAGTATGGCTACCCCCTCTTAGTGGTGGGGCCTGCAAGCTGATCTCACAAATGCCACCGTGGAATGGAAGGCGTGTTAAAAAAAAAAAAAATCTTTGCTTTTGCTTTCCCCCAAGACTACCTAACAACCCCTAATCCTAATCCACAGTCTTGGATTTCAAGCTTGGGGGTGGGGCTGGGGGGCCAAAAATCTCAGGTCTGTTTCCTTCCCCTATTTCTCTCTTTTCCTTCTCGCAGTGTCCACTGGAGCAAGAAGGGGAGGCTCTCACCTCTTTGCTTTCTGTTATGTCTTCCATCGTCCATAGGGCAGTGACCCTCATGGCTTGGCCACAAGAAAAGCAGGCATCTTCTCTAAACTATGGAAGAAATCATGAGGTGGGGCCCCCAGTCTTTTGGTATGGGAGATGCCAAACAAACAGGAAATAAAGACACAATTGCACTCCTTTACTATCTCCCGAATAGCTCCATTATGTTTTACATTTATGTATGATTCCTAGTCTTTCTCCAGATGAGTATTGTTGTCTAGGAAGACATAAATGTTAGGCAGATAATATATATTTTTAATTTCTACTCTATGAAAGTCACTATACTGGGGAAGGGGAAAACAAATGATAAGACATGGTCTCAGCCCCCAAGGAACTAACATTCTATGAACTGTGATAAATGTAAACCAGGAACGGAGGTGCAGCAGGAATTGTAAATGCTTGCATGGTGCAGTGCAACAGCTGACGCAAGAGGACTTGGTGTGCTTTGAATGAGATGCAAATTGAACGGGGATTGAAGAAGTCACAGATGACTAAAATGACTAGGATTTCAAGACTGGATGTCAGGCATATGGAGGTTTGGAGGTGATCTGGTTTGGTTTTGTATGCTCTGCTGCTAGAATTGTAGCTCTAATTGCTCACCACACACCAGGCCTCGTTCCTGGCTGCTCCTCGGAGTTCAGTGCACATGAGGCTGATGCGTGGATTTGCCCCCTACATGCCTGACTGGTTTTTAAAGAGAAAACAAGTCCATAGCAAAACTTGACTCTTTCAGCGTTTGCCAAAAAGACAAAAATGGCTTTTGAAAACCCAGAGCTCACCTCCCCTTTTCCCAGCTTCATCATTGACAGCAGCAATGATGCTTCATCATTGACAGCAGCAGCAACAGCTACAGCTACAGCTTAAGATACAGCTAGAGCTCAAACAGCCCCAGACATGGATTATGGAGAGCCAGCAGGGCTCCACTGTAACCCCAGACACGGATTATGAAGAGCCAGCAGGGCTCCACTCTAACCCCAGACACGGATTATGGAGGGCCAGCAGGGCTCCACTCTAACCCCATACACGGATTATGAAGAGCCAGCAGGGCTCCACTCTAACCCCAGACACGGATTATGGAGGGCCAGCAGGGCTCCACTCTAACCCCAGACACAGATTATGAAGAGCCAGCAGGGCTCCACTCTAACCCCAGACACGGATTATGAAGAGCCAGCAGGGCTCCACTGTAACCCCAGACACGGATTATGAAGAGCCAGCAGGGCTCCACTCTAACCCCAGACACGGATTATGAAGAGCCAGCAGGGCTCCACTCTAACCCCAGACATGGATTATGGAGAGCCAACAGAGCTCCACTCCAACCCCAGACACGGATTATGGAGAGCCAGCAGGGCTCCACTCTAACCCCAGACACGGATTATGGAGGGCCAGCAGGGCTCCACTCTAACCCCAGACACGGATTATGGAGGGCCAGCAGGGCTCCACTCTAACCCCAGACACGGATTATGGAGGGCCAGCAGGGCTCCACTCTAATCCCAGACATGGATTATGGAGAGCCAGCAGGGCTCCACTCTAACCCCAGACACGGATTATGAAGAGCCAGCAGGGCTCCACTCTAACCCTAGACATGGATTATGAAGAGCCAGCAGGGCTCCACTCTAACCCCAGACATGGATTATGGAGGGCCAACAGGGCTCCACTCCAACCCCAGACATGGATTATGGAGGGCCAGCAGGGCTCCACTCCAACCCCAGACATGGATTATGGAGGGCCAGCAGGGCTCCACTGTAACCCCAGACATGGATTATGGAGAGCCAACAGGGCTCCACTCCAACCCCAGACACGGATTATGGAGAGCCAGCAGGGCTCCACTCCAACCCCAGACACGGATTATGGAGGGCCAGCAGGGCTCCACTGTAACCCCAGACACGGATTATGAAGAGCCAGCAGGGCTCCACTGTAACCCCAGACACGGATTATGAAGAGCCAGCAGGGCTCCACTGTAACCCCAGACACGGATTATGAAGAGCCAGCAGGGCTCCACTGTAACCCCAGACACGGATTATGAAGAGCCAGCAGGGCTCCACTCTAACCCCAGACACGGATTATGAAGAGCCAGCAGGGCTCCACTCTAACCCCAGACATGGATTATGGAGAGCCAACAGGGCTCCACTCCAACCCCAGACACGGATTATGGAGAGCCAGCAGGGCTCCACTCTAACCCCAGACACGGATTATGGAGAGCCAAGAGGGCTCCACTCCAACCCCAGACACGGATTATGGAGAGCCAGCAGGGCTCCACTGTAACCCCAGACACGGATTATGAAGAGCCAACAGGGCTCCACTCCAACCCCAGACATGGATTATGGAGAGCCAGCAGGGCTCCACTCTAACCCCAGACATGGATTATGGAGAGCCAACAGGGCTCCACTCCAACCCCAGACACGGATTATGGAGAGCCAGCAGGGCTCCACTCTAACCCCAGACACGGATTATGGAGGGCCAGCAGGGCTCCACTCTAACCCCATACACGGATTATGAAGAGCCAGCAGGGCTCCACTCTAACCCCAGACACGGATTATGGAGGGCCAGCAGGGCTCCACTCTAACCCCAGACACAGATTATGAAGAGCCAGCAGGGCTCCACTCTAACCCCAGACACGGATTATGAAGAGCCAGCAGGGCTCCACTGTAACCCCAGACACGGATTATGAAGAGCCAGCAGGGCTCCACTGTAACCCCAGACACGGATTATGAAGAGCCAGCAGGGCTCCACTCTAACCCCAGACATGGATTATGGAGAGCCAACAGAGCTCCACTCCAACCCCAGACACGGATTATGGAGAGCCAGCAGGGCTCCACTCTAACCCCAGACACGGATTATGGAGGGCCAGCAGGGCTCCACTCTAACCCCAGACACGGATTATGGAGGGCCAGCAGGGCTCCACTCTAACCCCAGACACGGATTATGGAGGGCCAGCAGGGCTCCACTCTAATCCCAGACATGGATTATGGAGAGCCAGCAGGGCTCCACTCTAACCCCAGACACGGATTATGAAGAGCCAGCAGGGCTCCACTCTAACCCTAGACATGGATTATGAAGAGCCAGCAGGGCTCCACTCTAACCCCAGACATGGATTATGGAGGGCCAACAGGGCTCCACTCCAACCCCAGACATGGATTATGGAGGGCCAGCAGGGCTCCACTGTAACCCCAGACATGGATTATGGAGAGCCAACAGGGCTCCACTCCAACCCCAGACACGGATTATGGAGAGCCAGCAGGGCTCCACTCCAACCCCAGACACGGATTATGGAGGGCCAGCAGGGCTCCACTGTAACCCCAGACACGGATTATGAAGAGCCAGCAGGGCTCCACTGTAACCCCAGACACGGATTATGAAGAGCCAGCAGGGCTCCACTCTAACCCCAGACACGGATTATGAAGAGCCAGCAGGGCTCCACGCTAAAGAGGGGAAGGAAGATGGAAGATACTCTCTTTAGGAGCTGGTGGTGAAGCCAGGAGGCCCAGCACTCGGCGGTGCATTAATGCAACAAGTATTTATTGAGTGCCTACTATATACTAGGCTCTGTTCTAGGCATTGAGAATACAGTGGTAAGAGAGAGAGACAGAAAAGGACTACATTCTAGTAGAAAATATAAACAATAAATAAGTAAAAAACAAATATAAACATGAACTATAAAAATATCAGAGTGGTAAGTGCTATGCAAAAAATTAAAATAGAGTGATGGGCTAGAGAGAAGTTGAGTGGCCCCTTTGGAGGAGTTGGTCAGCGAAGTTCGGCAAAAAATATACTTCTTGTGGGCTTCTGAGTTGAGCATAAGTAACTCTATACTTATTATTGAAGTAAATTGTATTACTTGTCTCCACATGCCTTAGAGCTTTTGTGTGTAGTTTTTTCTGACATTTACAGTTTGTAAAGTATTTGGCAATAATTTAATAACAGGCCACGCTTGTTTTCTCTTAAGCTTCTATTATATTGGATTAAGATAGTCCAGTCTACTTCCAGTAGAAGTGGATGGAGTGAAAGATGTTGCTTCTTTGGCTCAAACTGCAAATAAGTCTGATAACCTTGCATAGAGAGCAATTTCCATGAAGAAAAATGGGGGAAGCAATCAATTCACTAAAGGAGGAATCAGAGGAAAGGAAATGAGGGCATTGGATATAGGAAACAGGGACCACAAGTTGGGAGCAATCTTCTCATTCTACTTGATGGGAACATTATACCTCCTTTCTTGTCTGTCATTTAATGGAGCTAATACTGAGCCATGGGTCATTTCCCCGTAAAACAACCTCTTGTTTTCTCTGAAAGGATCCTCTCAGGAATACACAATGCTTAATAGCCTTGCTCAGACACTCAGTCTAATGGTGACACCCTAAAACAACAAGCATATTGGCAATTGCAAACTAAGGTTTCTGAGACTTTACAGAAAGAATCACCAATAAGAGAGTAACAAGCCCAAGGAAAGGTCAGCTCATGCCAGTTTGGAGGCTGGCCTATTCCCGCCGAGTAGGCAGATGCAGCCATCTCCTCCCCAAGGGAGGACCACTAATGAGCGCAGCTCTGTGATTTAAAGAGCTATCGATTTGTCCGTGACATTCAAGTATTTCTGAAGAACAGGGTTTGAAATATGCTGTTTCATAGCATTTTACCCCAAATGGCCGCATCGAATAGAGATTGGAATAATATATAGAAATGAAAGGCACCGTATTCCCTTAAACCTCATTATCCTTTTGATTAGCCAATTCACATTCTGTTCAACATTCTGCTTAATTTGCTTTTTCTGTATGGTGAGATCAATAACTTTAAGTGTTGTTTCTCGAAGTTGCTATTACTGGTGGGAGACTCAACAAGTTAACAGTCACCACGTGTAATATCAGTAGCTTAAGTGCACAATACCTAGCTGGGCATGGAGGCGCGTGCCTGTAATCCCAGCTACTTGGGAGGCTGAGGCAGGAGAATTGCTTGAACCTGGGAGGCAGAGGTTGCAGTGAGCTGAGATCGCACCACTGCATTCCAGCCTGCACGACAGAGTGAGACTCCATTAAAAAAAAAAAAAAAGTACAATACCAAATGGGAGGGATCTGAAGTGATTCTTCCTTTTGTCTTCCCTGTGAGAGGGACAATTTGCTGACTTCTGAGGGGAAAATCTAGGGGAAGATTTGTAAAAGTCATCTTCTAGTATAAAGAGATACTTGTGTTTTGGCTTCTCAGAGGACTAGAGCCCTCATTGCCAAGCGGAGACAGGAGACTATGTGGAGAGAGGAGACTAGTTAAGTGGAGAGAGTTATGTGGAGAGAGGAGACTAGTTATGTGGAGGGAGGAGACTAGTTATGTGGAGAGAGAAGACTAGTTATGTGGAGGGAGGAGACTAGTTATGTGGAGAGAGGAGACTAGTTATGTGGAGAGAGTTATGTGGAGAGAGGAGACTAGTTATGTGGAGAGAGGAGACTAGTTACGTGGAGAGAGTTATGTGGAGAGAGAAGTGCTCGTTGGCTAAAGGAAGACACCTTCTTCATGCTGTTTGGGTCAGTCAATAATAGGAAGAGTTTCTGCTTAGCAGGGAGCTAAAGCTGAGGTTTGACATAGCAGAGCTGCCGTATGTGAAAATGGAGGTGGGAGTAGTGGCGGGCAAGCCCTCTTCCCAGCCCAGCCCACAGCCCCTTCTCAGAGAATCAACTCCCTGTCTCCCTGCTGAGTCCCCTCAGCACTCACTCCCTTAACCGTCTGCCACAGCTGATTAGATCGTGGGCAGGCACGTAACTCCAGCTGGTCCAGTCAGACACGTTCTGACCTAGGAATGTAAATTTGGGTCGCGGAAACTTAGATTTTTTTTTTTTTTTTTTTTTGAGATGGAGTCTCGCTCTGTCATCCAGGCTGAAGTGCAGTGGCACAATCTAAGCTCTGCTCACCGCAATCTCTGTCTCCCAGGTTCAAGTCATTCTCCTGCCTCAGCCTCCTGAGTAGCTGGGATTGCAGGCATGCACCACCACACCTGGCTAATTTTTGTATTTTGAGTAGAGACAGGGTTTCACCATGTTGGCCAGGCTGGTCTTGAACTCCTGACCTCATGATCCACCAGCCTTGGTCTCCCAAAGTGCTGGGATTACAGGCATGAGCCACCGTGCCCGGCTGGAAACTTAGGTTTCTGATAAGCACTTGAACTATGGGTTGGTTATTGCTATGGTTTGAATGTATGTGTACCTCCAAAACTCAACTGTTCAGATCTAATACCCAACGCGATCGTATTAAGAGGTAGGGTCTTTTGGGAAGTGATTAAGTCATGAGTATTCTACTCTCATGAATGGGATTAATGCTCTCATCAAAGAGGTTGAAGAGGGCACCCTAATCCCTTTTTGCCCCTCCATCTCTTCTGCTGTATAAGAACACAGTTCATCGCTTTTGCTGCCTTCCACCACGCAACAAGGCTTCATCTTGGAAGCAGAGAGTGAGCCCTCACCTGACACTTAATCTGCTGACATCTTGATCTTGAACTTCCCAGCCTCTAGAACTGTGAGAAACAAATTCCTATTATTTACACATTACCCAGTCTAAGATATTTTGTCACAGCTGCACAAACAGACTGAGACAGATAAAAAGCTAGTATCAAGGCACCCATGTTCAGACATGGTTAAGTGAGCAAAGAAAGATAATAATGAAAGCAAACGCTTGCAACGTGCCTGGCACTGTTCAAAGAACTTTACATATATTGATTCAATCTCACAACAATCTTATGAGGTAAAAGTACCATTGTTATCTTTATTCCCACTTTACAAATGAGGAAACTGAAGAACAGAAGCTTAAGGAACTTGCCCAGAGTCACCAATAACTAAGTCGTGGGGCTGGCATTTAGCACCCTGGCTTGGAGACTGCCCTTAATCACATACCACATGCTAAACTGTTCTCTGGAGAGAGAGAGAGAGATTGAGAAGGCATGTGCCTTAGAGAGCCAGAAATAAAAGACAATATAGCTCTAGAGAGAAAGAGATTTGGAGAGACAAGCCAGTCTGGCTCTTGTCAGCTTTGCAGTTTCTGGCATTAATTCCTATGAAGCCTGGCCTCATTTCCTGTCTTGGGGCTCCACCAGATCCCTCTATTTCTAATCAATGTTCTTTTTTGCTTATGTTAGCTTGAATGAGTTCTGTTCATTGCAACTAAATGCTCTCTGACTCAAGAAGTTGGAAAATGAAGGAATATTTTCCAATAGGGGGTCTGCTAGAATTGTGTTATGTTAATCAGCTACAGAAGTATGTGAGAGATGTTTTAATTTTGCTCTTTTAAAAGTTCACACAGTATACTAAGCAAGGATGATCTAATTGCTTTTATAGCCAAGAGTAAGTGATTCCAATTTGTCCTGTCTCTGTCCAATGACTGGGACCAATGCAGTCATGGCTGCCCTTCCGTCTGGTGGAATTGGAACTGAATTACAGGGATAGAATTTTGGAATGGGAGTAAATTAAGAACCAATCAATCAGAAGAAGAGTATAGATGATGTATCCGTAATGAGTCTTAATTTTTATTTCTTAGTTAATGGGTTTTAATTATTGCATGAGTTCTCCATTGCTGCATTACAAATCATCTCAAAAAACTCAGTGGTTTAAAAAAATCATTTTATTATCTTTCATGGTTTCTGTGGATCAGGAATTCAGACAGGCCAAAGCAGAGATGGCTTGTCTTTGCCCCACAATATCTGGGACCTCAGTTGGGTGTGGCTGAGGGCTGGAATAATCTGGGGGCTGCCTTCCGCTCATATGTCTCGCTCTGGTGTGACTGTTCGCTGGGACCTCGCTTGGGCCATCATCCAGAATACCTACATTTGACTTCTTCATGTAATTTCTCACATGACCTAATGGGTCTTCCCCATAGCGTGGCTGCTGGGTTCTAAGAACAAGCATCCCCAGAAAGAGCCAGATAGAAGCTGCATCACTTTTCATGATCCAGCCTTGAAAGTTGCATGGCATTCCTTCTGCCACAGTCACAAGCCTGCCCACCCTAGGAGGTGGGAGTGGAGATCCCACATTTTGAGGGGAGAAATGTCAGAGTCACATAGTTAGAAGATAACATTGGATGGGAGTTGTTGTTGCAGACATCTTTGGAAACTAGCATCACGGCAAAATACAATGACAAATGTTGACTTAAAAAAATACATTGTGTGGAAGCCTATAAGCCTCCTATTTCTTTAAAAAGCAGAGCACTTGGTAAAGTTTTAAGTAGCCTGATTATAATTTTCATCACTTGAAAGAAACAAGTAACAGCAAGAGGACCAGCAAAGAACTGTGAGTTATGTGAAAATAATAACAGCTTGGGCCAGTGTCCATCCTATTAAAGCAGGATGTGTGTCTTCAGACTTACAGACTTGAGGAAAGCAGATTTCAAAACATTCAAAACAGATGATCTCATAGTGAGAACCTCTGAAAGGGAGTATGGCTAAGAAAGGATGGCTCTAAAAATAAAATTCAGAACCTAAAATTGCAAATGATCCTAATGAGGAAGAAAAGAGACATCCAAAGAAAACAGCATTTCTGCTGATGAGCGCCAATTTGAAGAGAACACACACAAAGATGGAAGGAGGGGCACAAAATCAAGGGTGTATACAGAAGAATGTCACAAACTCTTACGAATCTCAGAGGAAATCAAAAGCATAGAGAAGGTTGACGTTTCAAGGGTTGAGGGAAGCTAAAGATAAATCATCAAAAAGACCCGTTTGACTGTGTGTAGAAGAACAGGGAAAGAACAGGCATAATCCACTTTCAAACCATAATATCATCTGTTAAAACAACTAGTTAGCCTACTAGATGATGACACAATACGTCTGGAAGAAAGAAAAGCTTCAATGCAAACACAATTTTGTAACATTTCCTACAAGTGACAGAGAGAACGTCAAATGAGTTCCCTAGCAGCCCCAGAGGGACGAAGCTCTCTAGGAGCCGAATTTCCTTTGTGGGGCAACGTATGTGGAGACCTAAGGCAGCAGTTGGGGTAGCAGAGGGCCTTCTTTTTTCTTTTTTTCTTTTCTTTTTCTTTTTCTTTTTTTTTTTTTTGAGACAGAGTCTTGCTCTGTCGCCCAGGCTGGAGTGCAGTGACACGATCTTGGCTCACTGCAACCTCCGCCTCCCAGGTTCAAGTGATTCTCCTGCCTCAGCCTCCCAAGTAGCTGGGATTACAGGCGCTTGCCACCACACCTCACTAATTTTTTTGTGTATTTTTAGTAGAGATGGGGTTTCACCGTGTTGGCCAGGAAAGTTTTGTTCTCCTGACCTCGTGATCTGCTTGCCTTGGGCTCCCAAAGTGCTGGGATTACAGGCATGAGCTACCGCGCCTGGCCGCAGAGGTCCTGCTGAGTCAGGGTATCTGGCTTCAGGATGTGGCTTGAGCAGGTGACTCTGGGTGAACTGGGATTGTGCTGCTTCTCTGTTTAAGATTCTTTTATACCACAGTGGGAGAGTCTTAGATAATTTTTCAAGTCCCTTCAAAGGAGAAGATGCCAGGATTTGGAGAGCTTGTGTGTTTCATCTCTGTGAACACCCTGTCATGGAGGGTCTGCACTAACTAGTGTGCTGGGTCCATGCTGAATAGAAGAGGGAAGTAGGCCTGGAGAGTCTCAGAGTAATGGCGGCTTCCTGGTGCTCCTGCTCCTACCTAACTCTTGGTGTCTCCTTTCAGGACTAGGTGGGGAGTCTCTGGGGACTGAGGCACTTCCAGCCCTCGAATAAGTATTCCCAGGAAATGTACCTTCACCCCCAAGTCCTAAGCAGATCCCAGCATGTCCAGGCAAAAGTAGGGAGTCGTATTGAGAACAAATGAACAAATGGATGAGGCTGTGACCTGAATTGATGCCACACACCTTGCAGCTTCTTCCCGCCTCCCTCAGCTCCCCGATATCTCAGACTCAGAGTTTAGGGGGAGCTTCTGATGCTCTGGATGGGGACTATTACTTGGGTGGGAGGGAAGGGAAGGTTTACTGATAACATAAACATGATCCTAGCAACTTGTAGATGTTAACTAAAACCTGTGCACAGAAGATCAGAGAATTTCTCTTTTGAAGGCTGAAGGGAAGAGAGAGCAAGTTTGTCTCCTCTGCTGCCAGAACAGAGCGGGGCACCCTGAGTTTATCCCATCTTTGTCCTGGTCTGTTCCTATTGACAAGAGAGGCTCCAGGTCTCACCCCCTATCCCCCAGGTAGGAGGGTAAGCCCACTGCACTGGGGTTTCTAATTTCGGGGGTAATCCCTTCCTTCCATGCCAGGCAGGAGGGTGGGGAGACCCCTCTATCCAAGTCTTTGATCTGGGTTGGAGCAAAAGAGAAGGACTTCTATAAAACTGTCAGGGAGATGGGAAGGGGGCTTGAAAGAGAGGTTGTAAATGGGCAGTTCACCTTTGATCACCCGCCCCAGATCCTTTTTATAGCCCAGGATTATGGGTTTAGAAGTGCGCTTCGTGTGTCCCCGAAGGAATCGTGTGACTTAAGAACATTGTTCTTAAAGTTCTTACATTGTTCTGAAAGTTCAGAGAGACTGCACACAAAGGACTTTCGTTTTCATTAAAAAAGGAGAAAGAAAAAAGAAAAAGAAAACATCAGCTCAAATCATGCAGCGATCCCTAAGTTAGTAATAAACTGGAAACCCAGTCTGTTTCTTTCCATGTAATAGGATACTTTCTGGCCTGGTAATTCCACTAAAATCTATTAAATGATGAAGGTACAAGATATATTTTTATTCCCCATTCCCCTGCCCTCCAGACAAAAGAAGGAATTTGCTGTCTATTATTGCTAGATTTTTATTTCCTGCTGTTAAAACGTCAGAGAAACAGAAGCTTAATTGTCTGAGTTTTGTCACTTGGGTATAAAGAGATGTTAGAGCTGACTGCTAATTTCCAATTTGTTTAATGTGTGTGGTCAAATACTTCGCAGACAAACTGATTCATCATGGCTGTATCTCTGTGTGTTTCCACACGTCTCTATCCCCTCCCACCTCCATCACCACTCAAAGAGAAGGAAAGTTTGCAATCTGTTGTTCATCTTAAACTCTGCTCAGTCTTTTGCTGGGAAATATAAACAGCTTCCCGCCAGTGTTGAGGGAAAGTTTGTGATTTAGGAGAAGCAAGCGTCTTTTCAATGTGGCTGGTTGTAGCCACCGCCCTTCTCCTTGCTCAGTGAGCCCTGCTCTCTCAAGCAGCATAGCTGTGAACAGCCCTGTCCCCAAGCCGCACTAGTTGCCACACCCTGGGAACGCCCCTTTTCCTGCCACAGCCCTGGCTTCCCCTGCGTGTGCATCAGCTGGAAGGCTAAGTCAGATCTCTGTGAAGCTGGAAAGCTTGCCTGGCATCTGTCACATTTCAGCTGCCACCCAGGCCCATTCCAAGCCCACTGGAGTCACGTGGAGCAATCTCTTCCTTGTCTAATAAGCACCTTTGTTCTATGATTCTTGGTACCTACCTCCTTCTCCAGCATCTTTGGCCCTCACTAAGGTGGAAGCAGAATCCACTACTCCCTTAGCCAACATTGAGCCATGGGGCCCAGAGAGTGGGTCGGCAGCAGGTCTAGCCCAATTACAGAATTACCCAGTCCATCATTGTCTCCGAGTGGGGACAACCAGCATCTGCTGGACAGTTAGGACATTCTTTCTTGCGGTGAGATGGCGACAGAACTAAATTCCTGCACAAGTCACCGACAGCCATATGCGAGGGTCCCAGGGCTGGGAAAGTGGACAGCAACCTCTTGAGAACTGGAGGGCCCATTTAAACTTACAGCAGGTTCCTGGAGGCTGATACTGACAGCAAGGGATGGGGCCCTGCTCACAGGAGCTGATCAGGGGAGTCCTCGTAAAGACAAATATTGAAGACTTGAGATTTTTTTCCATTACAGAATCATTGTCTCGTTTTTCCTGTCCTTGGCTACACACTATCATACACATATACCACAAGTTCATCTTTCTCTGTGATTATCAACAAGCACCAGAGATTTTCTTCCATTCTCTGCCTAGCGGTGCACAGCCTCCCAGGGGACAAATCACAAGGAAATTAGTGAACTCCAGGTGTTTGCATATGTATTTAAATATTCAATGCCTGGGTGTTTATGATTCCAAAATATCTGGTTGGGGTAGTTAAAACCTCAGGCAATTTGAGACAAATGAGTCTAAGTATTCATGTATTTATCGCTCATCTAACAAATAAATACCGAGTGTCTTGCATGAGCCAGGAAGTATCCAGGGAACAAGACACAGACCATCGCTGTTTGTTGATGCATAGATAAGCCCTTGGTGGATTAATCAGACCTCTCACATGCTAGCTGTTGCTCTGGCTTTTTAAAGAGCCTCCTTCTGTGTCCTCGGATCTGTGTCAGCTATCTCCGGCAGTCCGCTCGTGTCTGGCACACATGCACTCTGAGCTGCTTGGAAATAGGGCATCATCTCCACTCACTCTCATCTTGATGGGATCTGTGTGCGTGTTGTAACTTTACATTCTTTCTGCAGAGGTTGCTCATCATCTTAAGACTGTGGCTGGAAAAGAAGGTTCCAGAATGGCAGGCTCTCAAAGGGCTGGTGGTGGTGAATGACAGTGGGAAGGCCAGTGGGCCCAGTCCTGTGGGAAAGAGAATGGGAGGATATATTAGAAAAACAGACTTCTAGCTGGGCATGGTGGCTCACACCTGTAATCCCAGCACTTGGGAGGTTGAGGCGGGTGGATTGCCTGAGGTGAGGAGTTTGAGACCAGCCTGGTCAACATAGTGAACACCTCTCTCTACTAAAAATACAAAAAATTAGCTGGGCGTGGTGGCGAGTGCCTGTAATCCCAGCTACTAGGGAGGCTAAGGCAGGAGAATCACTTGAACCTGAAAGGCAGAGGTTGCAGTGAGCCGAGATCGCGTCATTGCACTCCAGCCTGGGCAACAAGAGTGAAACTCTGTCTCAAAAAAAAAAAAAAAAGAAAAAAAGAAAAAAAGAAAAAGGGACTACTTTTTAGAGGCCATTATTTCTGCTGTGGCCAGATTCCTCTGAGCTTAACAGAAGTGGATCCTGGAGCCATGCCAGTTCTGCCTTAGGTGGGGGTATTTTGCTAGACATCCAGGAAGCGGATTATGACAGGGTGGAGGGACTGGGAATGGGAGGTGCTCTGAGCCCCATTCCAGGGGGAGCAGATTTCCCAGGTGGAGGAGGCAAATTTGAGTCTAAACCAGAGGGTGAAGCTGGACAAGGGAGACAGAAGCAAAGGCCTCCCATCCAAGAGAAATCTCAAGGCCTAGCGGGACCGGCTTCTCAGGTTCTTACTCAGGAATGCTTCAAAGACCCTGAACTGTGGTTGGCAATTTCTCAGTCGCCCTGGCTTGGAAACTTGGACTCCCCACCCAGGGATCATTCCACAGCTCTTCACTGTTACCAGTTCCTCAGATCCGTACACTCTTCCGCAGCTGCTCAAGGACCGTCCCTAGGGGAGTGGGGAACACAAAGGGAACCCAGGGTCCCTTATCCTTATCCATGGAAAACTGAACACGGAAACTCCATCTTCCTCCATAAATTCAAGAGAAAAGCTGTATTCGTCACAGGATTCACAAGACTAATTATTAAATCTTTATGATTTATGGATTCAATTTTTATTGGGTGTGGGCCAAAAAATATTTGCTGAGCTTCTGCCTACTGGACTAGGGGAATAAATCTCCTCTAATTCTCTTCCTCCTTCTTAGGACTTTCTTTCAGTCCCTGTTTTTTTTTTTTCTCGGCTCTCCACTTGTAAGAGAAGCCTTCTCAACCCCTCCTTAGTCCTTACACCATCACATCGAGCTCTTCCCTGTCGCCGTCCTTGACTGCGTTGGAGACTTAGAAATGTGTTCATTGGTTTGCTTCTCCACTAGACTATCAGCTCTCCGGAGGTGAAAACCCTAACTTATTTTTCTTTCATCTCCTTCGGTGCCTAGCGCTATGCTCAGCACAGAGCAAGGAGCTCCGTAAGCATTTGTCAGACAAGTGAACGAATGAGGGAATGAATGAAGGAGTCTGGAGATGCATCTGATGTGGATGCGGGTGACAGGGCAGACAGCAACAGCCAGGTGGGCATGAACATGCTGGGCGCCCACTTGTGCCAGGCACAGTGCTGGAAGGACATCACTGCTGCGCCTGCACCTTCCTTCCAGCCAGAAAGACTTGCTTGCACCCTGGGGCTTGCTTCTGGTAGGATACCGGGGCCCTCTGCATTTCCAGAGTCTTGACAAGCAGAGAATGAATGCTCTTTCAGACGGCATCCTCGTCAGTTTACACTCCAATCGCCTTCTCCCAAAAAATTAAATTGCCTTTTCTTCCTCAGGAGGTATAATAATCCCCGCAACAGATTGTTTCCTGTTCTATAAAACGACTCCCTTCTGCTCGCCACATCCCTGCCACAGCATTACCTTCTCTCAGTGTTTTCTATGCCCCTCTCTTAGGCTCCTTCTTCCTGTGCAAATGAGCCTCCTTGTCCCTGAGCACAGGTCCCCCAACTCACCCTTAAACCCTGACCTGGTCTTTGGTGGATCTCAGCCCCAGCTCAGCACCCCCTTGCCTTTTATGTAGACGACAAGAGTCTGTGCAACCTTCCTTCTCCCGGCCCTTGGCTCCAGGAGTGTGAAGCCTGGGGAGTTTTTTCATCTAATTTTCCAGCAAACTTAAACTAGACAATTGAAGACTCAATTAGGGAGTGGAGGTCTGCGTGCTCTCCC
This sequence comes from Homo sapiens, assembly GCF_000001405.40. NCBI lineage: Eukaryota > Metazoa > Chordata > Mammalia > Primates > Hominidae > Homo > Homo sapiens. Next base: position 197,424,850 of record NC_000003.12, on the reverse strand, counting down.
AGGGGAGTGCACTTAGCTCTGGAAATCTTAGCTTACAGAGGTCACTCCCATCTTTTCCAGATTCCCCCTTTTTCGTAGACTAACGATTTTTTTGGAGGGTACCAGGCACTTGTGCTTAGCCAGCAAGGAGTGGGGTGGAGTGGGTGGGAGGTGTGGGACTCATCTCAATAAAGCAGAGGCTGAGGACAGTGGAAATGAGGGCAGGATTCAAAGGAAGCAGCCCATCGAAGACACAGTGGATGAGCTCTACAAGGCTAGAGACACAGAGGCCCGGGGGCTCACACCCACCGCTAAGACTGAAGGAAGCGTATTCTGATAGGGACTAAGAGTACAATACGCGTGCATGTGTGTGTGCAGACACACCCCATCAGATAGTGCCCTCTGAATCTAGCTCAGGCTAGAAACCCAGACAGGATAGAGGCATTGGGTGGGGTGTTTGGTAAATTGCGCCCACTCGGTCACCGTAGGGACTAAGACTTGTTACATTAACAAGGAAATAGGGCAATTAGGCTACGACTTAGGGCAATGCTGCAAGGAAAAAGTGCAGAAGTGCGGACAGCTCTTTGTTTGTTTGTTTGTTTTTTGAGATGGAGTCTCCCTCTGTCGCTCTGTCGCCCAGGCTGGAGTGCAGTGGCTCGATCTCGGCTCACTGCAATCTCCACCTCCTGGGTTCAAGTGATTCTCCTGCCCCATCGTCCCAAGTAGCTGGGATTACAGGCGCGCCACCATGCCTGGCTAATTTTTGTGATGGGGTTTCACTCTTGTCGCCCAAGCTGGAGTGCCATGGCACGATCTTGGCTCACTGCAACCTCCGCCTCCTGGGTTCAAGTGATTCTCCTGCCTCAGCCTCCCGACACCTGCCTAGTTTTTGTATTTTTAGTAGAGACGGGTTTTCGACGTGTTGTCCAGGCTGGTCACAGTCAGCTCTTTGCCTGTATAGATTCACCCCATCCTCCTACTCCCATCTCCGGCCACCTCCATTGCCTCCTGCACTGAAAGAGGACTAGGGCAACAGGGACTCCATCTCCTCCAGCTTCTGACTGGATTCAGCCAATGAAGAGCCTTAGCAAATCAGGGGGAAGGAGAAAAGGGACTCCAGGGTGCTTATTTCCCTGGCTGCATTCCTATGCCCGTGCCCTGGGCTGGTCGTTTTCTTCCTTTAAGTGCCCCCCAGCTCCGCACAGCTGCCTCTCTTTCCTGGTTCTGGGAGCCCATCCCTCCTCGGGTCCTGAGCACAGCTGCCTCTCTTTCCTAGTTCTGGGAGCCCATCCCTCCTCGGGTCCTGAGCACAGCTGCCTCTCTTTCCTGGTTCTGGGAGCCCATCCCTCCTCGGGTCCTAAGCACAGCTGCCTCGCTTTCCTGGTTCTGGGAGCCCATCCCTCCTCGGGTCCCTTAGGACTTAGGGATGGTCATAGGTCTGCCGCCGCCAGCCCTGAGGTTCTGAGCTATTTTTTTCGTTCTCCTACACTCCAACCTTAAGTTTATTATTAGTTAGCTTTTTATAAATAAAACCTCCCTGAGTTACCCTAACTTGACAGTGCCATTTGTCTCCTGTTGGGATCCTGACTGATACAGATATAATTGTATTTCAATATGATTACTGTTTTGTTTTTAAAAATACTGTTGGGAGGGCTGGGCGCTGTGGCTCATGCCTGTAATCCCAGCACTTTGGGAGGCTGAGGCAGGCGGATCACTTGAGGTCAGGAGTTCAAGACCAGCCTGGCCAATATGGCAAAATTCCATCTCTACTAAAATTACAAAAATTAGCTGGGCGTGGTGGCAGGTGCCTGTAATCCCAGCTACTCAGGAGGCGGACACAGGAGAATCACTTGAACCTGGGAGGTGGAGGTTGCAGTGAGCCAAGATTGCGCTATTGCCCTCAAGCCTGGGCAACAGAGTGAGACTCTGTCCAGCCCCCCCAAAAAAATTTAAAAAATACTGTTGGGAGTTCTGCTAAGCTGGGAGAGAGAGCTGAGCTGTCAGGTGTCAGAGTAGCCCATCACAGCAAGAATGAGCCAAAAAAAAAAAAGTAACAGTGCAGCCTTTAATCACTTGCTATAACAGTGTTAATATAAACAGGAGGCTAAAGCCAGAGAAGCCGCTGGCTCTCCTGTTTCATTTTCCCCATGAAACAGTGCACCGTTCAAGGGTCAGGTGGATCCGTGCAGATGTGGCGGACATTGCACTGTTGAGGGAGCCCCCAACCAAAGGCTCCAGCAGTTTTATGGACCCTGGGGTCGGGGTGTGGGGTAGAGTGGAAAAATCCTGGGTGCTGATTCAGAGTGGGGAAGCATGTCTTCAGGGTTCGCCCTCCTCCCCCTGGTAAAGAGGCCTCGGAAGAGGCACCTGAAAAAAAACCTCAGCCGAAGGCCTCAGAGAAAGAGATTTAGGAATGAAGACACTGGGCTAGGAATGCAAATATGTGAAGAGCATAGCATAGCAGGGCTGAGTCCTTAACTCCCCTCAGAGCCTCCTGTGTGCTGGCTGGGCACCAGGTCTGGTGTGGGGAGGGGAGCTTCCCCAGGAGGGCTGCCAGGTCAAGCCTCTGCCATTGCTTGCAGTCAGACCTGAAAAATCACACATAGGTGTTTGACCAGGAGCCAGACTCGTCAAATACATACACCCCACAATGGAGCAGGTGCGCCAGAATGTTATCCGTGGTTTCTCTTGGTCAGGGCCGTCCAACAGACATGTGATGTGAGTCATATATATGATTTTACGGTTTTTAGTAGCTTCTGAAAACAGTAAAAAGGAACAGGTCAAATTAATTTTAATAATATATTTGTTGGCTGGATGGGTGCAGTGACTCACACCTGTAATCCCAGCACTTTGGGAGGCCGAGGACGGGTGAATCATCTGAGGTCAGGAGTTTGAGACCGCGTGACCAACGTGGCGAAACCCTGTCTCTACTAAAGATACAAAAATTAGCTGGGTGTGGTGGCGGATGCCTGTAATCCCAGCTACTCGGGAGTCTGAGGTAGGAGAATTGCTTGAACCTGGGAGGCAGATGTTGCAGTGAGCCAAGATCATGCCACTGGACTCTAAAAAAAAAAAAAAATTATGTATTGTCCAATATATCCAGAATGTTATCATCTCAGGCATGTAATGAGTATTTTTGAAAGTATTAATGAGATATTTTACATTTTTTGAACTAAATCTTCCACTCCGGTGTATATTTTATACTTACAGTGCATCTCCGTTCAGATCAGCCGCATTTCCAATGCTCGGGAGCAGCGCATGCTTACTTGCTACCGTGTCAGAGGCGGCACTGGGCTAGGCGATGGGTGGGCTTATGAATTCTTAAAACATATATTTCCACGTTTTCTACCATAAATGTGCATTTTACATTTTATTTAGAAAATTATAGTCTATAAATATAATCTTATCTAGGTTTTGTTTATTTTCTATTTTATTTTAGTAGAAATTTCCTCTTTAAAATCCGGGCTTTGTCTGCATCTGTGGTGGTCTAAGAATAAAAGGGGCTACTTCCTTTTTGAGAGAGTGAGCCCAGAAAGCATCGACTGGGCAAGGACTACACTCGGCTCAACTTTGGAACCTCAGGAAGAGGTCCTCGTGGTGGCAGACAGAGGGGACTGCACCAGGGTGGACACCTGGGTGGGAACCTGGGCGGGCCGAGGCCTCCTCTCTGCCTGGTGCGGCTTCCTGCATAGGTCTGACCACCACTCAGACCAAAGCCACCCCGCCCCAGAACTGGGGTCTGACCAGACATCTCTCACTGGCCCCCACTTACAAATATGCAACTCTTTCTTAGCAGCTGCATGTCTTCAAGGAATGATGGGACACTATGTTTAAGCTCCAGAAATCGAAGCAGGACTCAAAGAAGCAGGCCAGTTCTGCTCTGCCCCCAAAGGTGAGTGCTTACTCTTTACTGCTGCATTTTGGAACAGTAAAAAAATAATCGTTTACAGCAGAGCATCAGAGAATGCACAGTCCAAGGCTTATAGGAAATACTTGCAGGTTGGTTAGCTGGTTGGCTAGTTGGTTGGTTGGGAAACATCTGCTGTGGGAAGGTAGAAGAGAATTGGCCCTGTGGCTAGAGACAGCTTGGAAATGGAAAGAACCCTGAACTGGGCTCAGGACCAGGTCCCCTGACCTCTCTATGTGACCTTGAGCAATGCACTTCCCTACCTGGGACGTCATGTTCCTCCACAGACAGGGGATTAAATAGGTATCACGAGATAACTTCTGAGACCCATTGCGGTGAAAGCATTTTGTGATTTTTGCCTCTGGAGGAAGTATTGAAAAGTCAGACAGTCCAAAGATGAATTTTAAAATGACTTCCAAGTCTGATTCCTGGGACAGTTGGGGCCAGAAGAGGAGAACAACCTGCATTTACCATTAGGACCAACATGAAGTGGAAAAGAACTGCCCCAGAGCCAGGGACCTGAGTAGGCAGGACTCGATGAGAACCGCCTGGGCAGACAGCATCAGCAGACACAATACTGCTGATTTTTTTTTCCCAATGGAAAAGTCCTTTTTGTCTGAGGCAATGTTTTCCACAGCTCTAGGGGACTGTGGTCATTTCCTAACAAGATTTTTCCTATTTTGTGCAGCTGGGGTCTGGCATTGGAAACACTGAGTGTTTTCAGGCTGAAACTCACTTAGGTCCTCCAGGGCCAAAGGCTGCTGGGTAAATTCAGGGTTTGGTGCAATCTGTGCTATAGTCTCTGCCCCTCAAACCATGGGGCACTGCCCTTTTCTTTAATACTTTGGAATTATAGCATTAGATACATAAAATTACAAAATATCAGAGCTGTAAAGACTTTGAGAGGCCACCTAGTCTATTCTTCTTCTAGAGAAGGGGAAACTGAAGCCCAGAAAAGGAGAGGAACTGACTCCAAGCCACACGTTCAATTAGAGAGAAGCCCACCCTCCTGACTCTTGATCCAGGTCCTCTGGACTCTCAGCCAACACCTGTCCACTGCACTTCCTCCTTTGGGGATGTGGGGAGTGAGGTGACCAGGAGAAGGTCACTTAGAAGGTCACTTAGAAGGTCAGTTAGAAGAGAAACTAACTGGCTATGAATGATTTCATATGTTTCAACCTTACGCCTCTACCTCCTGGTTACCTGATGATACCTCTCTCTCTATTTCCTGATTACTCCTCCTGGTTACCTGATGATACCTCTCTCTCTGTTTCCTGATTACTCCATCCTTGTTCTTTGGCTTTCAGTGTTTATTAGAGATAATAGATGGACTACATGCACACACAGGTTCATTCCATTGACGTTCACCAAGAGCCTTCCACTGCTGAGGATGCAAGATGAGTAAGTTACAGGTCCACTGTAGCCTGGGAGAGTCACTTTCCCTGTCCGAAGCAGTGAGCATAGCAGAGTCCAACTAAAGCACTGCTCAGGTGGCACAGAGAAGGGGTTTGCTCTGTCTAGCGCAGATCGGGGATTGCAGAAGAAGATTGATTGGCAAACAGAGATCTAACTATACATAATCGATGCCGATATTTTGCTTATTTGGTAAAGGAGTTGAAATCAATTTCTAGCATATGGGTAGGTGTTTGTATTTAATTTATCATGACCATCAGGCAAGGGCCATGAGAAACAGGGTCTCCCCTGGATTCAGCCTCATATGGTTCTGCCTCAGGTGGCAATTTCACAGCGCCTTTCTCTACTTCATCTTTTCTGGTATTAGCTTACACTGCTGACTAAATGCACCTGGCCTGTTCATAGCCTAAAAGCCTCTGCCAAAGTCTTTCTCATCCCACTGAAGACACAGCCTTCGGGAAGGGACAGCAGGCTAAGCCAAGCTGAGCCTGTGCCTGTGCCTTTGTCACATTCTGGAGCCACAATGGGACTAGGGACTCCCTTTCCACCGGGAGGCTGGGAGAGAGTACGATGGGAGTCAATCTTCCAGGTCTCTTTGAAAAGAAAGTCAGTTTGAAAATGTCGAACACCTGGCTCAGTTAGACCTTTCTCCAGGTTGTCATTTACTTAGAAAAGGAGCACTATTCAAGCCTTAAATGTCAGCTTCTTGCCTCTAAAACTGTGGGATCGGGTAAACCCCTGGGCACTTCAGCCTGTACTCCTATACCAAGGGCTGGGCTCCCTGGCTGTTAGTGGAGGGCAGCAGACACCCTGCCCAGGAATCCTATACCAAGGGCTGGGCTCCCTGGCTGTTAGTGGAGGGCAGCAGACACCCCGCCCAGGAGTCAGCCCCAGGGAAATGTCCACTAGGTACCAAAGATTCTGGGATTTCGGTTTGTCTGTGAGTTTCATGCATCTCATTCCTGAGGGCAGTTCCTAAATCTTTACCCTTGTATGTTTGAAAGATGACAACTCTTTAAAAACACGACTAGACCTGAGCTTTAAGTCCCAAGCTTGGGTCCCTTTACCTGGCAGCTCTTCCTATATCCAGCCAGCCGCCTTCTATGAGCTAATCCCTGTCTTGGCTCCTGCCTGTGCACTGCCTTCCCCATCCCTGTGAGGCACCATATGCTTAATGATACCCTCTAAAGAGGACGAATCTCCCTTAGCTGTCCTCTAACATTTGGAATGTACTGTCCCCTCTACAGTGTTAAAAACCAAAACAAAACAAAATAAATTAAGCTCTAATGCAGCTGGAGAGCTAATGGACCTCTCTTTCCCAGGAAAAGGAAAACAAAGATTCCAACCATTTGCAGCTCCTGAAAAATTCCGCCGACAGATGATCAGCCTCATTCCAGGCTAACTAACTGCTAACGAGCTTGAATTCGCCTATTCAGGGAATGTCCTTTGTTCACTTCTCTGCTACCTGAATTGTCTTCCCACTCTGCCTTCAGACACACTGAGCCAGAAGTTCAGCTCGGGTGCAAGAGATGGCAAAATGTGAGCCTCGAATCATCAGAGATCACCACAGTGCTGTCTTGAAATTCAAGGCAATATGAGTGTGTTACTGGGCTCAGTATCAGCCGGTATTACGAGAAACACTGGGGCATTTCCAGTGCAGATTATTTTAAATGGGAGAGTTCTTTTTTACTGTCACTTCTCCATTCTGGTCATAGAATGATTATTGACCATTATTGGGCCCTAACCATATTCACAAAACGTGGCTCTCACCCAGTATTTCCACATTATTGCTCTAGATTGCTTTAAATGGAATATACACACAGTAATGAGTCAGTTTTAGTGGAAGAGGCTTATCCTCAAGCCTTACATAACTGCACTGTAGTCTTGACTTTGTTCCTGTCCAGCTACTGGGCTGAAGACAGACAAAACAAGTCAGCCAACTCAGTTTAACACCTCCCTCGACCGTGCCTCCCCTTGCCCCGACACACGCCAGATTAACACTCTTCTCAGGCATCATTCAGAACAACGGCTCTCAATTCTGGCTGCAAACAGAATCATCAGGGAGCTTTTTAAAAACAAAAGAAAAAAAATCAATACCCAGGCCCTACTCCAAATCAATTAAAATAGATTTTGGGGGGATGGGCCTCAGGCATGGGAATTTTTATAAAGCTGCCGTGTTTATACCGACGTGCGCCATAAATGGGAATCTCTGTTTTAAACTTGACCAAAATTAATGATTAGAGGTTTTGCTTGCACACCAAGCAGGCAAATTTAATATTTAATATTTATATAAAACTTAAGATCATCACTCTTGGAATCAAATAAAACCAACAGAAAGGTACAACTATATAGTGCAACCAAGTTGCACAGGAAGAGAACAAAAATAGAGATACTTGCTCTTTTTTTTTTTTTTGAGATGGAGTCTTGCTCTGTCACCAGGCTGGAGTGCAGTGATACGATCTTGGCTCACTGCAACCTCCACCTGCCAGGTTCAAGGGATTCTCCTGCCTCAGCCTCTCTAGTAGCTGGGACTACAGGTACGCACCACCACACCTGGCTAATTTTTGTATTTTTAGTAGAGACAGGGTTTCACCATGTTGGCCAGGATGGTCTCGATCTCCTGACCTCGTGATCTGCCAGCCTCAGCCTCCCAAAGTGCTGGGATTACAGGCATGAGCCACTGCGCCCAGCCAAGATACTTGTTCTAATGCCACCTAACTTGGCCAGATCTTTGGAGGCCCTAAAGCAATAACATAGACAAACAACTTTGGACAAATAAGTTTCCACCGAGTATGCACAGATTAAGACTTTAACTCAGGGATGAGGGAGGTCACAATAATGAGCAGGATCCCAAGGTGTCTGGCTTTGGCAGCCAGTTCTCCCCAGACTGCGTCTTGCTTCATATGTGCCCTTTAGATAAGAGGGCCTAACAGGCTAATGGGAGCCTAATGGTAAGTGGGGCTAGACTCAGACTAGAAATTTGGCAGGACGATGCCCCGGGATCTAGGCTGTTCCATTACTATTCCCAAAAGGGGAACAATGCTGAATAGAGATCTGAAGTAGAATCAGCCTGTCCCTGGGACAGGGTAAGGGGAGAGGTGGGGAGTGAGAGGGCTCAAGACAAATGATGATACACCTTGTTCAGATCTCCTCTTCAAGGTCTCTGCAGACAGAAAAGTGCCATTCTCGGCAGCCCCCGGGACAGTTCCACGTCAGGCTCATCCCTCCCTGTACCCACCATGGCCTAAAACGCAGGTTTGACTGTACTAGGAATCAGGGATGTTTGCACTCAGCTACAGTATATCTCCATAGCCATGTGTCAGTGACTTCAGCGTTCCAAAAACCTGGAAAGAAATCTGCTGTCCAAACAAATCCGAAATATTTGCAAGTCAAAAAAAAAAAAGACAACACCTGGGTCTGTTTGCTATAGGAGAGAAAGTGAGCTGTAAATGTAATTAGAAGGAGATATCTCCTGCATTCTTTGTTTTTTTTAATTTTATTATTATTATACTTTAAGTTTTAGGGTACATGTGCACAACGTGCAGGTTAGTTACATATGTATACATGTGCCATGTTGGTGTGCTGCACCCATTAACTCCTCATTTAGCATTAGGTATATCTCCTAATGCTATCCCTCCCCTCTCCCCCCACCCCACAACAGTCCCTGGTATGTGATGTTCCCCTTCCTGTGTCCATGTGTTCTCATTGTTCAATTCCCACCTATGAGTGAGAACATGAGGTGTTTGGTTTTTCGTCCTTGCGATAGTTTGCTGAGAATGATGGTTTCCAGTTTCATCCATGCCCCTAAAAAGGACATGAACTCATCATTTTTTATGGCTGCATAGTGTTCCATGGTGTATATGTGCCACATTTTCTTAATCCAGTCTATCGTTGTTGGACATTTAGGTTGGCTCCAAGTCTTTGCTATTGTGAATAGTGCCGTAATAAACATACGTGTGCATGTGTCTTTATAGCAGCATGATTTATAATCCTTTGGGTATATACCCAGTAATGGGATGGCTGGGTCAAATGGTATTTCTAGTTCTAGATCCCTGAGGAATCGCCACACTGACTTCCACAATGGTTGAACTAGTTTACAGTCCCACCAACAGTGTAAAAGTATTCCTATTTCTCCACATCCTCTCCAGCACCTGTTGTTTCCTGACATTTTAATGATCACCATTCTAACTGGTGTGAGATGGTATCTCATTGTGGTTTTGATTTGCATTTCTCTGATGGCCAGTAATGATGAGCACTTTTTCGTGTGTTTTTTGGCTGCATAAATGTCTTCTTTTGAGAAGTGTCTGTTCATATCCTTTGCCCACTTTTTGATGGGGTTGTTTTTTTTTTCTTGTAAATTTGTTTGAGTTCATTGTAGATTCTGGATATTAGCCCTTTGTCAGATGAGTAGGTTGCAAAAATTTTCTCCCATTCTGTAGGTTGCCTATTCACTCTGATGGTAGTTTCTTTTGCTGTGCAGAAGTTCTTTAGTTTAATTAGATCCCATTTGTCAATTTTGGCTTTTGTTGCCATTGCTTTTGGTGTTTTAGACATGAAGTCCTTGCCCATGCCTGTGTCCTGAATGGTATTGCCTAGGTTTTCTTCTAGGGTTTTTATGGTTTTAGTTTTAACATTTAAGTCTTTAATCCATCTTGAATTAATTTTTGTATAAGGTGTAAGGAAGCGATCCAGTTTCAGCTTTCTACACATGGCTAGCCAGTTTTCCCAGCACCATTTATTAAATAGGGAATCCTTTCCCCATTGCTTGTTTTTCTCAGGTTTGTCAAATATCAGATAGTTGTAGATATGTGACATTATTTCTGAGGGCTCTGTTCTGTTCCATTGGTCTATATCTCTGTTTTGGTACCAGTACCATGCTGTTTTGGTTACTGTAGCCTTGTAGTATAGTTTGAAGTCAGGTAGCATGATGCTTCCAGCTTTGTTCTTTTGGCTTAGGATCGACTTGGCAATGCGGGCTCTTTTTTGGTTCCATATGAACTTTAAAGTAGTTTTTTCCAATTCTGTGAAGAAAGTCATTGGTAGCTTGATGGGGATGGCATTGAATCTATAAATTACCTTGGGCACTATAGCCATTTTCACGATATTGATTCTTCCTACCCATGAGCATGGAATGTTCTTCCATTTGTTTGTATCCTCTTTTATTTCATTGAGCAGTGGTTTGTAGTTCTCCTTGAAGAGGTCCTTCACATCCCTTCTAAGTTGGATTCCTAGGTATTTTATTCTCTTTGAAGCAATTGTGAATGGGAGTTCACTCATGATTTGGCTCTCTGTTTGTTATTGGTGTATAAGAATGCTTGTGATTTTTGTATGTTGATTTTTGTATCCTGAGACTTTGCTGAAGTTGCTTATCAGCTGGAGGAGATTTGGGGCTGAGACAGTGGGGTTTTCTAGATATACAATCATGTCATCTGCAAACAGGGACAATTTGACTTCCTCTTTTCCTAATTGAATACCCTTCATTTCCTTCTCCTGCCTGATTGCCCTGGCCAGAACTTCCAACACTATGTTGAATAGGAGTGGTGAGAGAGGGCATCCCTGTCTTGTGCCCATTTTCAAAGGGAATGCTTCCAGTTTTTGCCCATTCAGTATGATGTTGGCTGTGGGTTTGTCATAGATAGCTCTTATTATTTTGAGATATGTCCCATCAATACCTAATTTATTGAGAGTTTTTTGCATGAAGGGTTGTTGAATTTTGTCAAAGGCCTTTTCTGCATCTATTGAGATAATCATGTGGTTTTTGTCTTTGGTTCTGTTTATATGCTGGATTACATTTATTGATTTGCATATATTGAACCAGCCTTGCATCCCAGGGATGAAGCCCACTTGATCATGGTGGATAAGCTTTTTGATGTGCTGCTGGATTTGGTTTGCCAGTATTTTATTGAGGATTCTTGCATCGATGTTCATCAAGGATATTGGTCTAAAATTCTCTTTTTTGGTTGTGTCTCTGCCAGGCTTTGTTATCAGGATGATGCTGGCCTCATAAAATGAGTTAGGGTGGATTCCCTCTTTTTATATTGATTGGAATAGTTTCAGAAGGAATGGTACCAGCTCCTCTTTGTACCTGTGGTAGAATTCGGCTGTGAATCCATCTGGTCCCGGACTTATTTTGGTTGGTAAGCTATTGATTATTGCCTCAATTTCAGATCCTGTTATTGGTCTATTCAGAGACTCAATTTCTTCCTGGTTTAGTCTTGGGAGGGTGTATGTGTTGAAGAATTTATCCATTTCTTCTAGATTTTCTAGTTTATTTGTGTAGAGGTGTTTATAATATTCTCTGATGGTAGTTTGTATTTCTGTGGGATCGGTGGTGATATCCCCTTTATCATTTTTTATTGCGTCTATTTGATTCTTCTCTATTTTCTTCTTTATTAGTCTTGCTAGCGGTCTATCAATTTTGTTGATCTTTCAAAAAACCAGCTCGTGGATTCATTAATTTTTTGAAGGGTTTTTTGTGTCTCTATTTCCTTCAGTTCTGCTCTGATCTTAGTTATTTCTTGCCTTCTGCTAGCTTTTGAATGCGTTTGCTCTTGCTTTTCTAGTTCTTTTAATTGTGATATTAGGGTGTCAATTTTAGATCTTTCCTGCTTTCTCTTGTGGGCATTTAGTGCTATATATTTCCCTCTACACACTGCTTTGAATGTTTCCCAGAGATTCTGGTATGTTGTGTCTTTGTTCTCGTTGGTTTCAAAGAACATCTTTATTTCTGCCTTCATTTCATTATTTACCCAGTAGTCATTCAGAAGCAGGTTGTTCAGTTTCCTTGTAGTTGAGCGGTTTTGAGTGAGTTTCTTAATCCTGAGTTCTAGTTTGATTGCACTGTGGTCTGAGAGACAGTTTGTTATAATATACATTTGCTGAGGAGTGCTTTACTTCCAACTATGTGGTCAATTTTGGAGTAGGTGTGGTGTGGTGCTGAAAAGAATGTATATTCTGTTGATTTGGGATGGAGAGTTCTGTAGATGTCTATTAGGCCCGCTTGGTGCAGAGCTGAGTTCAATTCCTGGGTATCCTTGTTAATTTTCTGTCTCATTGATCTGTCTAATGTTGACAGTAGGGTGTTAAAGTCTCCCATTATTATTGTGTGGGAGTCTAAGTCTCTTTGTAGGTCACTAAGGACTTGCTTTATGAATCTGGGTGCTCCTGTATTGGGTGCATATATATTTAGGATAGTTAGCTCTTCTTGTTGAATTGATCCTTTACCATTATGTAATGGCCTTCTTTATCTCTTTTTATCTTTGTTGGTTTAAAGTCTGTTTTATCAGAGACTAGGTTGCAACCCCTGCCTTTTTTTTGTTTTCCATTTGCTTGGTAGATCTTCCTCCATCGCTTTATTTTGAGCCTATGTGTGTCCCTGCAGGTGAGATGTGTTTCCTGAATACAGCACACTGATGGGTCTTGACTCTTTATCCAATTTGCCAGTCTGTGTCTTTTAATTGGAGCATTTAGGCCATTTACATTTAAAGTTAATATTGTTATGTGTGAATTTGATCCTGTCATTATGATGTTAGCTGGTTATTTTGCTCGTTAGTTGATGCAGTTTCTTCCTAGCCTTGATGGTCTTTACAATTTGGCATGTTTTTGCAGTGGCTGGTATGGGTTGTTCCTTTCCATGTTTAGTGCTTCCTTCAGGAGCTCTTTTAGGGCAGGCCTGGTGGTGACAAAATCTCTCAGCATTTGCTTGTCTGTAAAGTATTTTATTTCTCCTTCACTTATGAAGCTTAGTTTGGCTGGATGTGAAATTCTGGGTTGAAAATTCTTTTCTTTAAGAATGTTGAATATTGGTCCCCACTCTCTTCTGGCTTGTAGAGTTCCTGCCAAGAGATCAGCTGTTAGTCTGATGGGCTTCCCTTTGTGGGTAGCCCAACCTTTCTCCCTGGCTTCCCTTAACATTTTTTCCTTCATTTCAACTTTGGTGAATCTGACAATTATGTGTCTTGGAGTTGCTCTTCTCGAGGAGTATCTTTGTGGCGTTCTCTGTATTTCCTGAATCTGAATGTTGGTCTGCCTTGCTAGATTGGGGAAGTTCTCCTGGATAATATCCTGCAGGGTATTTTCCAACTTGGTTCCATTCTCCCCGTCACTTTCAGGTACACCAATCAGACGTAGATTTGGTCTTTTCACATAGTCCCATATTTCTTGGCGGCTTTGTTCGTTTCTTTTTATTCTTTTTTCTCTAAACTTCTCTTCTTGCTTCATTTCATTCATTTTGTCTTCCATCACTGATACCCTTTCTTCCAGTTGATCGCATCGGCTACTGAGGCTTCTGCATTTGTCATGTAGCTCTCGTGCCTTGGTTTTCAGCTCCATCAGGTCCTTTAAGGACTTCTCTGCATTGGTCATTCTAGTTATCCATTTGTCTAATTTTTTTTTTCAAAGCTTTTAACTTCTTTGCCATAGGTTCAAATTTCCTCCTGTAGCTCGGAGTAGCTTGATCATCTGAAGCCTTCTTCTCTCAACTCATCAAAGTCATTCTCCGTCCAGATTTGTTCCGTTGCTGGTGAGGAGCTGCGTTCCTTTGGAGGAGGAAAGGCGCTCTGATTTTTAGAGTTTCCAGTTTTTCTGCTGTGTTTTTTCCCCATCTTTGTGGTTTTATCTACCTTTGGTCTTTGATGATGGTGATGTACAGATGGGGTTTTGGTGTGGATGTGCTTTCTGTTTGTTAGTTTTCCTTCTAACAAACAGGACCCTCAGCTGCAGGTCTGTTGGAGTTTGCTAGAGGTCCACTCCAGACTCTGTTTGCCTGGGTATCAGCAGCGGTGGCTGCAGAACAGTGGATTTTGGTGAGCCACAAATGCTGCTGCCTGATTGTTCCTCCGGAAGTTTTGTCTCAGAGGAGTACCCGGCCGTGTGAGGTGTCAGTCCGCCCCTACTGGGGGTTGCCTCCCAGTTAGGCTACTCGGGGGTCAAAGACCCACTTGAGGAGGCAGTCTGCCCGTTCTCAGATCTCAAGCTGCATGCTGGGAGAACCACTACTCTCTTCAAAGCTGTCAGAGAGGGACATTTAAGTCTGCAGAGGTTACTGCTGTCTTTTTGTTTGTCTGTGCCCTGCCCCCAGAGGTGGAGCCTACAGAGGCAGGCAAGCCTCCTTGAGCTGTGATGGGCTCCACCCAGATGGAGCTTCCCAGCCGCTTTGTTTACCTAATCAAACAACTAACTGGGCAATGGCGGGCGCCCCTCCCCCAGCCTTGCTGCCGCCTTGCAGTTTGATCTCGGACTGCTGTGCTAGCAATGAGCGAGACTCCATGGGCGTAGGACCTTCGGAGCCATGTGCGGGATATAATCTCCTGGTGTGCTGTTTTTTAAGCCTGTTGGAAAAGCGCAGTATTAGGGTGGGAGTGACCCGATTTTCCAGATGCTGTCTGTCACCCCTTTCTTTGACTACGAAAGGGAATTCCCTGACCCCTTGTGCTTCCTGGGTGAGGCGATGCCTCGCCCTGCTTTGGCTCGCACATGGTGCGCTGCACCCACTGTCCTGCACGTACTGTCTGGCGCTTCCCAGTGAGATGAACCCGGTACCTTAGTTGGAAATGCAGAAATCACCCGTCTTCTGTGTCGCTCACGCTGGGAGCTGTAGACCGGAGCTGTTCCTATTCAGCCATTCCTGCATTCTTTTAAAGCAATGAAGGTGTTGTAAGGATTGCAAATCAGACATCTCTATAAGAAGGACCATTTGGGGACACATGAATTTGGCAAACAAATTCAGGAAAGAAGGCTCTGCCTCAGCAGGGAAGGTGCAGACCTGTGGCAGCCAGGATGTCTCTTCTGGAGCATGGTTGGTGGGTCATGTCCAGTTACTATGCTGCCCTCAGGATTGGCCTAAGGTGTGAGTTTAGGAGGCGAGGGATATGGTGTGGTAGGATGACATTTTTGAGATGGACACTTCAGGTTGTCATGGAATCCGCAAGAACAAGATACCACAGTCTCCTGTGGTCTCAATATCAGTGTGAGGAGGTTGCGTCCTGGGCCTAATCTCAGCTGTCCCCATCCCGAGTACTGTCGTTAAACCATTGGCTTTTATTTTGGGTGCCCTCAATGGAGAGAATGAAGAATGGATCATGACCAGTTCCCACGTTCCAACAGCCTTAGCTCCACCAGAAACATGCCAAACTGGAAACTGGTTTGTCATGGGGATTGACAAAATGCTGATCAAACCCACAAGAGATGGCAAGATTATTCAATATAGACACTAGAGAGTTAGCATTGGAAGGACTCACTGGCCTTATAGAGGGGACCGTGAGCCAAGGGAAGCGACTTTCTCCATGTCACACACTAGTTAATGCCAAAGGTAGAATGAGAACCCAGAAACCCCAACTCTCAAATCAGTGCGCTTTCTACCACCCTTTGCTGTCAAATCTCAATGAGAACAAGAATGTGTGTATAAGATGTTCAATATATTCTCTTTTCAGAAAAGAAGGCTACTTGGGGAAATAACATCACTAATAGAAAGTTTTTGGAATGTGTAGAGGGCCAGTCCAGGGTATGTGCTGGAGAGAAATAGGTGAAGCTAAAATCAGAGTTGCAAGGAGCCACGCTGGGAAATCAACCCAGAGAGACACTTTGCTCCCCACAGTGGGAGTATAGAAGACTAGAACAGCTGGGACAGTCAATAGCTCCATGGATGGTCAAGGAAGGAAAGAAGTGGGGCTCCAAGAGGAACCTATGTCCCTGAATTAGACGTGTACTCTTCTGAGAAAGGACAGAGAAACCAACAGAGGGAAAAGTTAATCCCTGCTTAACTGTTCTTTGTTCCTGGACACAAGCTGAAGCAAGTAAGAAGAATTTCCATCCCACAACCCCCAGTGAGAAAGGGCTGGTCAGTTGATCCATTTAACCTACTGCCAGCCCGGAGAGGAGACCCGCAGGGAATTAAAGGGACACTGCCATTTTATGGGGCAAAAACCCCAGCTGCCAGAATGAAGCTGCAATTGTGTGGGTTCCCAGGTCAGTCCTGTGCCACCGTTGGGAGGAAAGATTCCCTTGATGCCAGACATGAGGCAGAGTTCCCAGGGGCTGTGGGTAGGATATGGCTGCTCCCTCCCTGACTCTCCAGAAAATTATAAGCAGGGAAACTTGAACTTGGGTCTTGAATACGCTCATTTTGTGTATCAGTGTAACCTGAGCACCTAGCAACCGCCAGGGCTTGGTGTCTGGTGACTTCCCCTTCAGCAGCTCTGCAGACTGCCAGAAAGAGCTGACTGCTCCAAGCCCAAGCCAAGCTTCCCTCTAGTTTAAATCAAAGAAAAATGGAGGGTGCCGAGAATGTAATGGGATAAAGGTCAACCCCAGGGCATAGCCCTCCACTCAACACGAGAACCAGAGTCATGTTTGACGAAATTCCCAAAAGACATTCTTCGGAACAAAGAAAATGAGCTAAGAAGATTTCTTAGAAAAGGATGCGTTTTATGTCAAAACAAGGGTGAGACCAGGTGCAGTGGCTCACACCTATAATCCCAGCACTTTGGGAGCCCAAGGCTGGTGGATCACCTGAGGTCAGGAGTTTGAAACCAACCTGGCCAACATGGTGAAACCCTGCCTCTCCTGAAAATACAAAAATTAGCTGGGCCTGGTGGGGCACACCTGTAATTCCAGCTACTCAGGGGCAGAGGCAGGAGAATTGCTTGAACCCAGGAGGTGGAGGTTGCAGTGAGCCAAGATCACACTACTGCACTCCAGCCTGGGCGACAGAGTGAGACTGTCTCAAAAAAAAAGAAAGAAAAAAGCCAGAGTGAGCTAGAGGTTACTGAAGTGGAGCACCAGGGAGCTGCCCAGGAGCCAAACAGTGCCCAGACCCTGGGGAGCCATCTGCCCCCACAGAGGGGGTGGGGGTCAACTCCCTGGTGACATCCTCTACTGAGGTTCCTTCCCCACCTCTTCACAGGGCAGGCTTCGGGCCCATTAGTTGCATTATAGAGACCGGGAATGGAAAACCAAATCTCTCCCTGTGTCCTTCATTCTGGCCTCTGTGCTGGGAAAAGCTCTTCCCACAACACCCTCTGTTCATTCCCAGATCCTGAACAACAGAGTTGAGAAGCAAGATTACGAAAAGGCACAGTTACCCCCTCACGGACTATCTGAGGCTGGACTTGAGCAGTTCTAGAGGCCCACACAAAGAGAGGACTAGCAGATAAAAGGACACGGTGCCGGCACGCCCACCACTGAGGAAGCAGTAGCAGGCACCAGTTTCTTTCCAAACACATCCTGGGTTGGAGAGGACTTGGTGGTGGCCCGAAGCCGTGAAGCTCTGCCCGAGGAGCTCCCAGAGCCCTCTGGGGATCGCACCTCGCTACCCGTCAGAGTGATGTATCGAGTATCCACTCTGTGCCTCCACAGGCAGGCCTCGGGAGGAAGCACAGTCCATGGGTACAGAATTACCTTCTCATGGGAAAATAGACAGTCAGTCAAAAATTACAGGCGCAGCGAGTGTTGTGAAGGAGGCGTGAGGGAGCAATGGGGGCGGCTCATGGAGCACTGAGGGTCTGGAAAGGCCTCCCCAAGGAAGTGACATAAACCCGAGACCTGAGGATGTAAGGGAATTAGACAAACAAATAGGGGAGATCGTGCGGACTTTGAATTGTCCCTCAAAGTCCATCTCCTCGGGCCAGGCATGGTGGCTCAAGCCTGTAATCCCAGCACTTTGGGAGGCCAAGGCGGGTAGATCACCTGAGATCAGGAGTTGGAGACCAGCCTGGCCAACATGGTGAAACACCGTCTGTACTAAAAATACAAAAATCAGCCAGGCGTGGTGGCAGTCGCCTATAATCCCAGCTACTCAGGAGGCTGAGGCAGAAGAATGCTTGAACCCAGGAGGTGGAGGTTGCAGTGAGCTGAGATCGCGCCACTGCACTCCAGCCTGGGCGACAGAGTGAGACTCCATCTAAAAAAAAAAAAAGTCCATTTCCTCTTCTTTCATAATCACAGAATTTTTAGTTGAGTATAGGCTTCCCAGAAAACAGCTGCATTTCCCAGCCTCTCTTAGAGGTGGATGTGACGCTGGACCCTAACAGGAAGAGGGAGGAAGCGTGTAGACAGTGCTGGGTTATGTGGACAGGGTTGCCCTCCCTCGGCCCCCCGCCCCTTCTGCTGGCTGGCATGTGGTCCTGGCAGGGAGCCATCTTGGAGCAGGCTAAGGAAGCCAGTAAGACAGAAGAAGCGGGGCTCTGATGACCTCACAGGCCAGAGCAGCCACACCAGCGTGGGGCTTCATGTGAGAGAAAAATAAATTCTATTTCGTTTAAGCCATTATTATTTTGGTCTCTGTTACAGAAACCAAAGCAGTGTCCTGACTAATACACAGTCTGAGGGAACAGCAAAGTGCTCCTGCAAATCTTCTTAACCGCATTTCATCTTCCCAAGAACCCAGTACGGAGGAGATTATTATCATTATTTTAGTGTTACAGAAACTGATGCTGAGAGGGATCGTTGTCTTGTCCAAGGTCACACAGTGGCAGAGCCCGGGACTCAGAACTCAAGGCTTCTTCATGCCAATCCAGGAGCATCCACGATGCTACGCCGCCTCCATTTCTCTAGGCTGGGTTTGGTTGCTTCCTCCGTTAGTGAGGTGAGTTTTTACCAAACCATCCACACTCTTTTTTTTTTTTTTTTTTGAGACGGAGTTTCGCTCTTGTTGCCCAGGCTGGAGTAGTGCAATGGCACGATCTTGGTTCACCGCAACCTCCGCCTCCCGGGTTCAAGAAATTCTCCTGCCTCAGCTTCCCGAGTAGCTGGGATTACAGGCGCGCACCACCACACCTGGCTAATTTTGTATTTTTAGTAGAGATGAGGTTTCTCCATGTTGGTCAGGCTGGTCTTGAACTCCCAACCTCAAGTGATCCGCCCGCCTCAGCCTCCCAAAGTGCTGGGATTACAGGAGTGAGCCACCGCACCCGGCCTCCATCCACACTCTTAACTTGATCCGCCACCCCCATGCCAGTCCACTCAGTGACACATGGTCCTAATGGCACATGCACCACGGACAGGAGGCTAATTTCCTGCATGAAGTGATGATTTAGGGGCAGGGATACAAGACGACTGGCACTTTCTCAGAAAATAGCTTACTTTTTTTTTTTTTTTTTAGCGAAGTCTCGTTCTTGTCCCCCAGGCTGGAGTGCAATGGCACGATGGTGCAATCTCGGCTCACTGCAACCTCCGCCTCCTGGGTTCAAATGATTCTCCTGCCTCAGCCTCCCAAGTAGCTGGGATTATAGGCGCCCGCCACCACACCCAGCTAATTTTTGTATTTTTAGTAGAGACAGGGTTTCACCATGTTGGCCAGGCTTATCTCGAACTCCTGACCTCAGTTGATCCGCCCACCTCGTAGGATTACAGGTGTGAGCCACCCCGCCCGGCCAATATTTTACACTTTATTCTAAAGGTAGTGTTTGGAAGAGTCCCATTCTCCCCCGTTCCCACCCCACCCCTGCCACTTTACCAGCCCCACTTTGTGCAAAGGATGCAGGAATTCTTGAAGACACCAGCACTCGGAGAGCCCTGGGGGCCGCAGCTCCTTCCTTAGTGCAAGTTTCTTCTCTCCTTATTTTGAGTCTAGGCTTCTTAGCGGGAGCAGCCTGGCTCCTCTGGGATCTCCCTGGGAAGCTGTGTCAGAACAGTTCTGTGATTTTATCTTTTGTCAGCCCTTTGACCGATTGCATATGGGAAATTGCAGGCTAAGCCATGTTCACACAAATCCTTAGCCCGTGTTCTCCTACTGAGGCGCTCCTCAAGTTATGAATCACCTCTGGGGTATAGCATTTGAAAAATTAAGGTCTTAAAATATTGATTTTATTCCTCACAGCCAGGAGATAGCTTTACACATGATTTGGTTGATTGGCCCATTGTGTGGCTCAGGTGCTTGTAACTTGCAAATTTAACAGAGCCTTTTGTCTGCAGAAGACTGAAGCAGCCAGGGAGACAGTGCTGCTCACACCCGGAATCCAAGCACTTGGGGAGGCCGACTAGCCTCAAGTGATCCTCCCACCTCAGCCTCCCAAAGTGCTGGAATTACAGGTGTGAGCCACCAACCGTGCAAGCCTAATCCATTTTCTAAAGTGCTGTAAGAACAATCTTCTAAAACGCAAAAAATCTGATTATCCTGGGAGTTTGGAATTCTTTCAATGGCTCCCTCATGGCCTCATCACGGTCAAGTCCAAATTCCTTAGCAGCCCTATAAGGCCCTTCCCGATCTGGCCCCACCTCCACCGCTCCCCCTCCCTCCACTCCCTGCTCTCCCCAGGTGCTATGCAGTACCTGCAAACGGCCTGTCCTCACCCTTCGGGCTCTGCCCCTGTTGCTCCCTCCACCTAGAATGGCCTTCCTTCATCTCCTTACCCGGACAGTTTCCTCGGGACCCCGTTCAGGCGTCTTCTCTTCCAAGTGGCTTTCCTGACCATCCCACCCTGCACAGCACCCTTGTCACCCTGTCAGAGTCACCTGCGGCCTCGTGATTTCCATGTGCATCTCCTCATCTAGTCGGGGAGCACCTTCAAGGCAGGAGCTGTGTCTCATTTGTCTTGACCTAGAGTCTGGCAGCACACCTGGCACAGAGTAGGTGCTCATTCAATGTTGGTTGAAACAGTGAGGCTCTGTGGAGCCCTAGGTGTCATGGTCGTTTCCTCCCAAGATTGCTGTCACTTCTATTTCACTAAGTTTTTGTATTGATAAAATATCAGGCAAGACTAATTTAATCCCATGAAAGCAGATACTTCATTTTTTTTCTGTGGGAGTGTTAATATATTAATTCATTTAGCCATCCATTCATCCGTCAGTCACTTCATTTAACGAATATGGGCCGGGCATGGTGGCTCACGCCTGTAATCCCTGCACTCTGGGAGGCTGAGGTGGGCGGATCACTTGAGGTCAGGAGTTGGAGACCAGCCTGGCCAACGTGGTGAAACCCCGTCTCCACTAAAAAATACAAAAATTAGCCAGGCATATGGTGGGCACTTGTAATCTCAGCTACTTGGGAGGCTGAGGCAGGAGAATCACTTGAACCCAGGAGGTGGAGGTTGCAGTGAGCCAAGATCATGCCGCTGCACTCCAGCCTGGGCAACAAGAGCGAATAAATAAATAAAATGAATCTAAGTAAATAAATAAATAAGAAATGCATCCTCTAGGCCAGACCCTGTGCTAAGCATTAGGGTTATAAAGCTAAATAAAACTCAGTCCCTGTCCTCAAAGAGCTGACAGTTCATTGGGAAACAGACACGCAGACATACCATGACAGAATGATGTGGCTGACATCACAGTGCATGAGGGAGGTGGTGGAGAAGGGAAGGTAATGGATGATCCCTCACAGTGGAGAAGGGAAGGTAACGAATGCTGGGTTAGGGGCCTGTCCTTTGAGGTTCTGCTACTCACATTCTCTCATGGCTCCTAGATTAGAATTGCCTATAGTTCTGTTCCCCCACTCCCATTACACTAAGAGTTCCTTGAGGACAGAGACTATGTTATCCACCTTCGTATTCATTCATTTATTCAACAAATATGTATTAAATGCCTACTGCACAGAAAGCCCTTTTAGGTGCTGTGGTTACCACATGAAGCAAGTTAGACTGACCTCTCTGCCTTCGTGGAGTTTACAAGGTGCCTGCCTCCGTGCTGGAAACATGGCAGGCTCTAGAGAGATATTTGTTAAAGGAATAAACAGTGGATTCAGAGGGATGTGAGTGTGGTCCTCAATCATCTGGAGAGCTGTGTGGGAAGAGGAACACACATGTTCAAGGATGTTTTAAAGGGCAGAGTGGGGCCAGTGCGGGGACATTGCATGGTGACTGGTCTGGGGAAATGAGGAAGAATTTCTGTTAGTAAAAGTTGTTCGATATTATGATATAGTGACAGTAAATGATAACACAGGCCAGGCACGGTGGCTTATGCCTATAATCCCAGACTTTGGGAGGCCAAGGTGGGTGGATCACCTGAGGTCAGGAGTTCGAGACCAACCTGACCAACATGGAGAAATCCCGTCTCTACTAAAAATACAAAATTAGCTGGGTGTGTTGGCGCATGCGTGTAATCCCAGCTACTCAGGAGGCTGAGGCAGGAGAATAGCTTGATCCTGGGGGAAGGAGTCTGTGGTGAGCTGAGATTGTGCCACTGCACTCCAGCCTGGGTAACAAGAGCGAAACTCCGTCTCAGAAAAAAAAAAAAAAAAAAGATAACACAGAGGCTTGTAGAAGAAATTTCTACAGTGAGTTCAAGGAGGTTAAGCCAAATGACCTACAGGTCCTTTCCAAATCTGGAATTTTATTGTTGAAAACATTGAAGTTTGTCCAAAATGTTCAGCCATCAAGATATATGGCAAACTGGCTATTGACTTTGGAACTTTTCTCTAGTAAGGGAAACAAGCAAACACTGTCACCCATAACAGTTTCACAGCAATTTTGCCGCGGACGTTTGGGTACACAGAAACTTCTCTATCTTACTTGTCACCTGAATCACAGCTCCTGGCCAAGTCAGACTCTCAGGAGAAAATCAAGGGGCAAGAGGATGAGCGAGTGTTCGCAAAAAAAAAAAAAAAAAAAAAGAGAGAAACTTCAAAATCTTCCTGGACTGAATCGTATGTCCATTTCACAAAATATTATTTAGCTGTTATAGAGAATAAAATAGATTTATATATATGTATAAAAGATATATTATTAAGTTTAAAATAACAAATTAGAGAATACTATTTAGGATATGACCAATTTTGTGTACTTTTTAAAAACAGGGCATGTCAATATATATGCATAATTTTTCTGGATGGAATGATAAGAAACTGTTAATAGTTTACTTTTGGGAGGTAGTTACTATGGAAAGTGGGAATGGGAGAAGGTAACTCCTCAATTTTCATTTAGTATGTTTCCATGTTGATGCTATTTTTTTTTTTTTTTTTTGAGACGGAGACTCACTGTGTCACCCAGGCTGGAGTGCAGTGGCGCGATCTCAGCTCACTGCGACCTCTGCCTCCCGGGTTCAAGTGATTCTCCTGTTTCAGCCTCATGAATAGCTGGGACTGCAGGCACACGCCACATGCCCAGCTAATTTTTGTATTTTTAGTAGAGACAGGTTTCATCATGTTGGCCAGGCTGGTCTCGAACCCCTGGCCTCAGGTGATCCACCCACCTTGGCCTCCCAAAGTGCTGGGATTACAGGCGTGAGCCACCACACCTTGCCCTTGATTCTATTTTCTAATCATGTGCCTCCTTCCCATCTTTTAATGCCAACACAGCTTACCTGGATCATGGTTAATTATAGCTTCTTTTTATAGTTTTCTATTTAAAAAATTAAAATTTAATATTTTTCATTTTCCAAAGGCTAGAAAAAAGGGAGTGGGGACCAAGCTGGGTACCACCAAGATAGATGATACTAGCTCCGTTTCTAAACATGAGAAACTAGAGTCAGCGAAACAGAAGGCTACAGGGAGGGAGAGCCTCTTGCTTAAGACCAGGCTGTAAAAAGACACCTGAGCCAAGACCAGAGGCCAGATCTCCTGGGGTCCAGCATGACTCCTCAGTGAAAACAACGCGGGAGAAGGAAAATGGAGGTAGGGAAGGGAGCTAACATTTGGAGAGGCCTACTGTGCACAGGCATTTTATACCATCACTGACCAACTGCTGTCCTTAGAACACCTTTCAGCAGCAAGACCCAGCTTACCCTGAGCTTTCCAGGATGAAGCATTAAGGCAGGCACAGAAGCTGACTTTCTGGACCCAGAAGGAAAACATGATTAAAAAATTCTACCTACACAAACTCCATTACCATGGATCCTGAGACTCTCCTTTTTCCTAGGGATCTTATTTATTACAGACTTGTTTGTGGAATGCAATGCTGGTGTCCTAGAAGAGACTCCTTATATAGTAATAACTGTATAGTCATCACCATGATAGTGAGGAAAAGTGAGAGTTGGCCTGGGAGTCAGGGCCCGGTGCTGGCCAGGGGGTTCGCAGCACTATTATGACCACTTGACTTTCTGTTTCCATCTGTGAACCCCAAATATCTGAGACAGGTCTCAGTCAATTTAGAAAGTTTATTTTGCCAAGGTTAAGGACACGCCTGTGACACAGCCTCAGGAAGTCCTGACGACATGTGCCCCAGGTGGTCGGGGATACCGTTTTTCTTTTTCTTTTGAGACGGAGTTTCATTCTTATTGCCCAGGCTGGAGTGCAGTGGCGTGATCTCGGCTCACCGCAACCTCTGGCTCCCGGGTTCAAGCGATTCTCCATTACAGGCATGCGCCATCACGCCCAGCTAATTTTGTATTTTTAGTAGAGACAGGGTTTCTCCATGTTGGCCAGGCTGGTCTCGAACTTCCAACCAATGGTGATCTGCCCGCCTCAGCCTCCCAAAGTGCTGAGATGACAGGCGTGAGCCACCGTACTCGGCCTTACAGTTTCATTCTGTACATTTTAGAGAGACATGCGACATCAATCCATGTGTGTAAGATGTACATTGGTTCAATTTTGTAAGGCAGGACAACTGGAAGTGAGGGCTTCCAGGTAGGAAGCAGATAAGAGACAAAAGGTTGCATTCTTTTGAGTCCTTGATCAGCCTTCCACTGAATACACAATTTAGTCTGGCTCAGTGAATCTGCATTTTTACATAAACGGTAGGGCAGAGGCAGCCATCAGATGTGCGTTTGTGTCTGGTGGGCCTCAGAGGGAGACTTGGAGCTCTGCCTGGCCTTCGTCCACAGGGAATTTTCCCACGGGCAAATTGTGAGGGAGGTCTGTAGCTTCTTGTCTTTGTAGCTATCTTATCCAGGAATAGAATGGGAGGCAGGTTTGCCTGACAGTTCCCGGCTGGACTTTTCTCTTGGCTTAGTGATTTTTGGGTCCCAAGATTTATTTTCCTTTTACACATTTATGAGCCTGAGTGGCAGGGCCTCCCTCACTCTTCCCACCCCAGCTCTCCTCTGCATCCCTGGATCTCAATCTCTGTGTTCCTCACTTTGGACTGGTAACCTGGCCTTGGTTCTCAATTGTTTGTGGGATAGGGTTGGGGATGTCAGGGGTAGCAGTTGGGGGTTGGAATAGCCACGGTGGGAAATGGGACCCAAGAACAACTGATAAGCCTCATGATTTTTCCGGCTCTCTCAGGGCCTCCAGGGTTTCTGGGACTGAGAGTTCAGGCAGGATAGATTTCATAAGAGGGTTCAAGCTCATTCTCCATCAGCCCAGAGAACTTGTCAGGCAAGTGTCAGGCCAGATGTCACCTCACTGTTTTGGGCCCTCTCCCAGTGGGCAAAATTGTTTTTTTTTTTTTTTTTTTGGAGATGGAGTTTCGCTCTTGTGGCCCAGGCTGGAGTGCAGTGGCACGATCTCCACTCACCGCAACCTCTGCCTCCCAGGTTCAGGCAATTCTCCTGCTTCAGCCTCCCAAGTAGCTGGGATTACAGGCATGTGTACCACACCCAACTATTTTTTTTTGTATTTTTAGTAGAGACGGGGTTTCTCCATGTTGTTCAGGCTGATCTCAAACTCCCGACCTCAGGTGAGCCGCCCACCTTGGCCTCCCAAAGTGCTGGGATTACAGGCGTGAGCCACCGCGCCTGGCCCAGGTGGGCAAGATCTAAGACATCACTCTGAGTTGGTTGTGTTTCCTCCGTCTGTCATGAGGGTCTTGATCAAAGGCAAGCATTGAGCTTATGCCTATTGCATTTCAGTTTGGTTGGTGACTTGATTGGAATCAAAGGTGGGAGAGTTGGTGGGAAAGAGAATGGAAAGCATCCTTCCCTGCAGCAAAGTCAATTCTGCCTCAAGGGGCATGAACCTCCATGCAGGTGCCAACCTCTTTAGCCCACTGGAGATCAGAGGTGTGTGTCATTTCATTTATACGTAAGAGTGGGGAGTGATGTGGGGCAGGGCTCTGCCATTTTCCAGTGACTCAGCCTGTGACCTTTGAGGGGAGATCTCAGAGAAAGAGAAGGTGCAGAACCTGAGCTTGCTTTCTTGGGGCTCAAATGGTGGTGGTTGCTGCTGCTAGTCTTAGAAGTCAGATGTACAGAGTTGAGTTACTCCTACTCCTTGGCCCCTGGATGTCAGCATCGTTGGTCCCTGGGAAACCCCCTCGTGAATTATTTACTTCCTTATTCCTTTTAGTCCCCATCCTGCAATTCCATTTCCTTCTCTCACTGCACATGATTCCTAGTTCTTTCATGTGTATCGTTTTGTTCGCATATTTTCATACAAATAGCATTTGCAGTATTTTAAATTTATGTACATATTCTATCTCATTATTTCTAACGCTTTTACATGCTTTTCCCCCATTTTTCACTGTTCTTAAGATCCGTCTATGCTGCTATGTGTACGTCTATTATTTTGCCTCAGTCCTGTTTCATCGTACTCCCTGGCGTGCATTCACTGTATTTTATTTCTCCATCTCAGTGATGGAAACTCAGGGAGTCTCCAGCTCCCACCACTAATTCCTGTGCAGGCAACATTTGCATACACCTCTCCTTACAGAATTGCATAAGAGCGGCCTGGGATGTATACCTCGTGGAGGCATTGCTAGCATGTTATACCGAATGTGACTAACAATGCCTGTGTGTGCCCCGGAACACTGCCAATGCCGACTCCTCTCAATCTGTCCTCTCGCCAGCAGGGTACAGGAGTGGCTATGTCCCACATCCCTGCCAATACTTGGCACTACCTGTATTTCTATATTTTGCCAATATAAAAGGCATACAGTGACATCCGGCTGTTGTTTTAATTTTCATTTTTTGTGTTACTAAAACTTTTGAGTCTCTCTTCATGGTAGATGCATGGTATACCGCTCCGGTTCCTGCTTCAGGACTAAAAGCTATGCCTCCCCTTACCCCTCTCCACCCCTCCCTGCCAGAGTGCCGGCTGTGAATGGCTCACAGGTGAGACCCTCCCTGGGAATTGCCCTCAGTCCAAGTAAGCAGCTTCACCCACACTTATGAGCTCTCCGTGGGGGCAGTGTCCATCCAGAGGCTAGTCAATGAAGGGGTACAAAGCCCCAGTCCCTTGCCTACATTCAGGACATCTCTGAAAAGACATGCCAGCATCAGCGTTCCCCAGTGGGATCAGCCAAGGCCTGTCTGTACCCACATCACCGTTCAGATTCTTGCTCTGCCCAGTCCTATCCTGATTTCCTCACTCCCTCACCGCGTTGCTGCTGAGATCACTCCCACATAGACCTCCTGCTCACAACTCCCTAGCTCCGAGTCTGCTTCAGCACAACTGACCTATGCCACCTTGTTCGCTTTTTGGAATTTCATCTTCTGTATAAATCTGTTTATATCCTTTCCACAATTTTTTTTCTTTTTTTGGTGGGGGGATGGATACGTGCTCTGTCACCCAGGCTGGAGTGCAGTGGCACGATCTTGGCTCACTGCAACCTCCACCTCCCGGGTTCAAGTGATTCTCCTGCCTCAGCCTCCTGAGTAGCTGGGACTACAGGCAAATGCCACCACACCTGGCTAATTTTTGTATTTTTAGTAGAGTTGGGTTTCACCATATTGGTCAGGCTGGTCCTGAACTCCTGACCTCATGAACTGCCTGCCTCAGCCTCCCAAAGTGCTGGAATTACAGGCGTGAGCCACGCCCGGCCCCTTTCCCCATTTTTAATTACAGTCATAAATGTTCAAGATCTTTCCATATTCTTCGTATCAATCCCTCATTGATTTAGATGTTACAAATATCTACGCCTGTTCTGTTAACAGTCTACTAACTTTGTCCATGGGGACTTTTGTTGATTAGAAACCCCTAATTTTAATTTAATCATATTCGTAAAAATTTGCCTTATGCTTTTGAAATTTTGTTTTGAGGAGGATCGATCACAAAGATACGTCCCTGCACTCTCTTCTGCCCATTTTATTTCCACTATTTTTCTTTAACCTTTTATACTTAGGTTTTTAAAGCATGCAGAGTCCTCTTTTGTATTTAGTGTTAAGTAGGGGTCCAGTTTTATTTTTCTCTATACAATGAGCCTGTTTCCCAAATGCCATTTACTAAATAATCTGTCCTTCCCCGTGATGTGCGGGACCACCTGCATCCTATATGTTATTTTTTATTTTTTAATCATTTTTTATTTTTTTTGCGATGGAGTCTCACTCTGTCGCCCAGGCTGGAGTGCAGTGGCGCAATCTCGGCTCACTTCAAGCTCCGCCCCTCCAGGTTTAAGTAATTCTCTGCCTCAGCCTCCAGAGTAGCTGGGATTACAGGTGCATGCCACCACGCCTGGCTAATTTTTTGTATTTTTAGTAGATACGGGGTTTTGCCATCTTGGCCAGGCTGGTCTTGAACTCCTGACCTCATGATCCACCTGCCTCGGCCTCCCAAAGTGCTGGGATTACAGATGTGAGCCACCGCGCCCGGCCTCACCTTCATCCTACATTAAGTTGGGACTGAATCTGAGCTCTCTATTCTGTTCTGGTGATCTATTTTTATGGTTTTTAAACTACTGTTTTTATTATGATGGCTTTTTAATATGTCTTTTTTTGTTGTTGTTGAGACAGGTTCCCACTCTGTCACCCAGGCTGGGGAGTGCAGTGGTGCAGCCACGGCTCACTGCAGCCCCAACCTCCTGGGCTCAAGAAATCCTCCCGTCTAAGTCTCCTGAGTTGCTTGGACTTACAGGCACGTGCCACCGTGACCAGCTAATTATTTTTTTCTATTTTTTGTAGAGATGGGGTCTCACTGTGTTGCCCAGGTTGGTCTTGAACTTCTGGCCTCAAGTGATCCTCCTGCCTCAGCCTCCCCAGGTGCTGGGATTCCAGGCGTGAGCCACCGCACCTGGCTATAATATGTCTTTCTATCAGATAGAGTAAAAGCTCCTCTTTACTCTCCTATTTTATTTTATTTTATTTTTTTGAGACAGGGTTTCACTCCTGTCCCCCATGCTGGAGTGCAATGGCACGAGAAGCTCACTGCAACCTCTGTACTCCTGGCTCAAGCAATTCTCCTGCCTCAGCCTCCCAAGTAGCTGGGACCACAGGTGCATGCCACTGTGCCTGGCTAACTTTTTTTTTTTTTTTTGGTAGAGATGGAGTTTTGCCATGTTGCCCAAGCTGGTCTCGAACTCCTGAGCTCAAGTGATCCGCCCACCTTGGCCTCCCAAAGTGCTGGGATTACAGGCATGAGCCACTGCGCCCAGCCCACTCTCCTTTTTTAAAGGTTGCCTTAGCTGTGGTTCTTTGTGTCTAACCCGAGTGTCTTCCTTTGTCCTGTACTGCCATAGTTTTTAGAGTAAGTTTAGCTCAAGTGCTTTGGACTTTATCTGCGGGCTTTGTCTGGGTCAGAAGCCCTTGTTTCAGCTGGCAGCCGTGGGCCTGAATGCTGACTTGTGTTCTTGGCAGTGAGCACACAGAAGCACAGGGAGAAACTTCAGGAAGAAGTGAAGCCAAGAGATGCTATCTGGCCTGCACTGGACACTTGGAAGCCCTGGCAATTCTCTGCACAGTAGAATCCAGTCTGATCCAAGAGAAACAGTGAATGGCACACAGATTTTAATGAGCCTGGGAACCTAATCGGAGGCTGTAATGAATGAGATTTCATGCGGCCCTGCCAAGGAGAGCACTCTCTCTGGATCTGTGGTCACTTGGCCCCTGCTCCCGAGGACTGCGAGGGCCTGTCAAAAGCTTAGCTCATTGCCACCTGCATCTCCATTCCTTCCGCAGCTCTTCTCATCCTGTTCCCAAAACCTCAGCTTTCAGGCATGTAGCATTTTCATTCCGTGATAATGAGGAGACTGTGAGCAGGCCATGGTTAGTCATCTGTGGTGTGAAGATGACGGGTGCTCCAGCTCAGGAGGTGCGTGCGGGTTCAGACACGTCAGTGCTGTGGCTAAAGACAGAAGCTGGTGAGGGGGAACGAGGTGACTCATCACCGAAACCTTGAGAACCAGGTTCAAGGAGAGGGCCTAGGCTTTCCAAATGCAGAATCTGCTTTCTTTGGTGGTGCTGAGGCTCCACCCAGGCCCGGTGGGTGCCATTAACTTCTGTTCTCTCCTCACCGAGGAACTTAACGTCAAGACAATCAGCTCCCGTGCCATCCGAACAGCTCTCCGAGCACCGGCCCATTCCGCCGTGGGCTTCCAGCTGCTTGCGCCTCCCCCTTCTCCATGCCGTTCTCATCCTCTCCTGCCGTGGCATGCTCAGGTTCCTTCTTTCTGTTTCTTCAAGGCTCTTACTTCTTTCTCAGTTAGTAGTTTTTAAAAATAGACCTTTTTTCTTTGAGACGGAGTTTCACTCTTGTGGCCCAGGTTGGAGTGCAGTGGCGCAACCTCAGCTCACTGCAAGCTCCGCCGCCCAGGTTCAAGCGATTCTGTTGCCTCAGCCTCCTGAGTAGCTCGGATTACAGGTGCCCATCACCATGCCCAGCTAATTTTTTGTATTTTTAGTAGAGATGGGTTTCACCATGTTGGCCAGGCTGGTCTTGAACTCCTGACCTCAGGTGATCCGCCTCCTCGGCCTCCCAAAGTGCTGGGATTACAGGTGTGAGCCACCACGCCCAGCCAAGAATATATATTTTTGATTGACTTGTGTGGATGGTGTTTCTTCCGCCAAGTGACTCTACAAAATGCTGGTTGTTGGCTTCCCACATTTACCTCAAGAGTGGTAAACAAGTCTGATTACTTGGTAATGTGGCTCTCTCTGCCTATCCTGAGTGTCTGTCCCCATCCTGCACACATGCTGGCTGCCACACTGGTACAAGGAGGCCCGTGTCATCTGCTCCCTTTGGAGAAGAGTCACATCTTGATTGGGGCCCCAGCAGCCTGGGCAGTACCCTTGTTTGACCTGTCTCTCTGCTGAACCCCAGAAGGCCTTATTGCCTTGCCTCTCTGCACCAACGCAACAGGCCACATAGAATCACTCCAGGGGAGAGGCTTTAATCTCAGCATCATTCTCCTCTTTCTTTTGCTCCAGGCAAATGTCGGGAGATAAAGAAGTGTACCAACTACCCTTCTGTTTCCTTTAGCTCATCTTTAAATGTACTGGCTGGCATCAGAGCCTCTAGAGGCTGCTTCAGAGACCAGCCACTGTGTCTTAAACAAGAGCAGGCAGAAGGCCTTGGAGTGGACTTTTGGGATTTTTATGCTGAAGGATATAGGGGACTTTATCCAGTGTTATCCTGCCTGGAGTCAGGGTGGATACGAAAGGGACTGGGAGCGGCTCCGTTTTTCAGAATCAGTGAGGGAAGGAAGCAGACTGTGCTGTTTTAAGATGCTCAGTGTAGTTGTCTAGGAAGAGTACTTTCAGAAGCCTTGAGACCTAGCAGGTGGGTAGGTAAAATATTCACAAAAGGAGCTATCTCAGCAGTGGGGATCAAGTTGTTGACTAATCCAATACTCCCTTGGAAAATTAGATCATCCATTCTTTACCCCCACCCTATTTCCTTATGAATTCCAGACTTTCAAAGGAAACAAGGATTACAGTGCAGCCCTCGGTCAGGCCACTGGACAGGATGCTGGGCTGATTGAGAGGGTCAGTCACAGAGTGTGCTCTGTGCCAACCATATCTAGCAGGATGCCAATGACCTTGTTTAGGGCTGTTGAAGATCCTGGAATGTTCCTCTGACTCTTAAACGTTCTGCTTGTCCACGTGTCTAACTATAAGACTAGAGAATCCACAGTCCAACTCTTAGAGGGCTAACAGTTTACCAAACACATAGGCAGAGAGGCTTCTTATGAAAAAATAATTGTATCCCACAAACTGGCTTTCCTGTATTTGGTCTCTCCCAGGGTATTAAATATAACTTTTTACATGCTGCAGGCTTCAAGGCACACCACATGACCAATAGACTTCCTTGTGTGGGCTCTAAATTTGGCCTACCAGTCCTGAGGGGACCACTGAAAGTTAGGTTACACTAAGCCACTCCAAACACTGTTGTACTTGGGTGAGGAAAGGTGGGCAAAGACAGAGATGGGCCTGTGAAGCTAGCTATTAGGGTTCTCTCTCTGGCCCATCATTTCTGCTCCCTGAGTCACCTCTTTCTCCTAGGAGCTTCTGAGGAGCTCAGATCAGATATTGGCAACTTGGCAGATCAAACATGCAGAAAGGACTGTTTTCCTGGGACACTTGAGAGCCACTCAGCTTTACCTTCTTATAAGCCATGGGGTCCCTGAATGAGGAGAAACTAGTGTGGAAAGGTACCTACACACTTTTGTGACTCAGGGGCTCTGATTTTTGCTTGCAAAGCAGACAAAAAGAGACCCTACGACAAGGAATCCAAGCTAATGGGCAAAAGAACTACAGACAGTAAACTATCCCAAATGCGCTGCAGATAGTAAACTATTGCAAATGCGCTGCAGATAGTAAACTATCCCAAATGTGCTACAGATAGTAAACTACCCCAAATGCAAGGCAGACAGTAAACTATCCCAACTGCGCTGCACATAGTAAACTACCCCAAATGCAAGGCAGACAGTAACCTATCCCAAATGCATTGAAGATAGTAAACTATCCCAAATGCGCTGCATATAGTAAACTATTGCAAATACACAATGGAGAGTAAACTATCCTAAATGCGCTGCAGATAGTAAACTATCCCAAATGCGCTGCAGATAGTAAACTATCACAAATACACTATGGATAGTAAACTATCCCAAATGTGTGGCAGATACTAAATTATCCCAAATGCACTGCAGATAGTAAACTATCCCAAATGTGCTGCAGATGGTAAACCATTGCAAATACACTATGGATAGTAAACTATCCCAAATGCGCTGCAGATAGTAAACTTTCGCAAATATGCAATGGATGGAAAACTATCCCAAATGCGCTGCAGATAGTAAACTATCCCAAATGCAAGGCAGAGAGTTAACTATCCGAAATGTGCTGCAGATAGTAAACTGTCGCAAATACACTATGGATGGTAAACTATCCCAAATGCGCTGCAGATAGTAAACTGTCGCAAACACACTATGGATGGTAAACTATCCCAAATGCGCTGCAGATAGTAAACTATCCCAAATGCAAGGCAGACAGTAAACTATCCCAAATGCGCTGCAGATAGTAAACTATCCCAAATGCAAGGCAGACAGTTAACTATCCGAAATGTGCTGCAGATAGTAAACTGTCGCAAATACACTATGGATGGTAAACTATCCCAAATGCGCTGCAGATAGTAAACTGTCGCAAACACACTATGGATGGTAAACTATCCCAAATGCGCTGCAGATAGTAAACTATCCCAAATGCAAGGCAGACAGTAAACTATCCCAAATGCGCTGCAGATAGTAAACTATCGCAAATACACTATGGATGGTAAACTATCCCAAATGCGCTGCAGATAGTAAACTATCCCAAATGCAAGGCAGATAGTAAACTATCCCAAATGCGCTGCAGATAGTAAACTATCGCAAATACACTATGGATGGTAAACTATCCCAAATGCGCTGCAGATAGTAAACTATCCCAAATGCGCTGCAGATAGTAAACTATCCCAAATACACTATGGATAGTAAACTATCCCAAATGTGTGGCAGATACTAAATTATCCCAAATGCACTGCAGATAGTAAACTATCCCAAATGCGCTGCAGATGGTAAACCATTGCAAATACACTATGGATAGTAAACTATCCCAAATGCGCTGCAGATAGTAAACTATCCCAAATGTGCTGCAGAGAGTAAACTATCGCAAATACACTATGGATAGTAAACTATCCCAAATGCACTGCAGATAGTAAACTATCAAAAATACACTATGGATAGTAAACTATCCCAAATGCGCTGCAGATAGTAAACTATCCCAAATGCAAGGCAGACAGTAAACTATCCCAAATGCACTGCAGATAGTAAACTATACCAAATGTGCTGCAGATAGTGAAATATCCCAAATGCAAGGCAGATAGTAAACTATTGCTAATGCGCTGCAGATAGTAAACTATCCGAAATGTGCTGCAGATAGTAAACTATCCCAAATGTGCTGCAGATAGTAAACTATCGCAAATACACTATGGATAGTAAACTATCCAAAATGCACTGCAGATAGTAAACTATCAAAAATACACTACGGATAGTAAACTATCCTAAATGCGCTGCAGATAGTAAACTATCCCAAATGCAAGGCAGACAGTAAACTATCCCAAATGCACTGCAGATAGTAAACTATACCAAATGTGCTGCAGATAGTGAACTATCCCAAATGCAAGGCAGACAGTAAACTATCGCAAATGCGCTGCAGATGGTAAACTACCCGAAATGTGCTGCAGATAGTAAACTATCCCAAATGCGCTGCAGATAGTAAACTATCGCAAATACATTATGGATAGTAAACTATCCAAAATGCACTGCAGACAGTAAACTATCCGAAATGTGAGGCAGATAGTAAACTATCGCAAACACACTACAGACAGTAAACTATCCCAAATGTGCTGCAGATAGTAAACTATCCCAAATGCACCGCAGATAGTAAACCATCCCAAATACAGAGCAGATAGCAAACTATCCCAAATGAGGTGCAGATGGTAAACTCTCCCAAATACAGAGCAGATAGTAAACTAACCCAAATGTGCTATAGATGGTAAACTATCCCAAATAAAGTGCACATAGTAAACTATCCAAAATGCGGTGCAGATGGTAAACTATCCCAAATACACTGCAGAGAGTAAACTATCCCAATGTGCTACAAATAGTAAACTCTCCAAAATTTGCTACAGATAGTAAACTATCCCAAATGTGCTGCAGATAGTAAACTATCCCAAATGTGCTGCAGATAGTAAAATATCCCAAGGGCACTGCAGATAGCAAACTATCAAAATACACTACAGATAGTAAACTATCCCAAATGTGCTGCAGATAGGAAACTATCGCATATACACTACAGATGGTAAACTATCGGAAATGTGCTGCAGATAGTAAACTATCCCAAATGTGCTAGAGATAGTAAACTATCCCAAAGGTGCTGCAGATAGGAAACTATCGCATATACACTACAGATGGTAAACTATCGGAAATGTGCTGCAGATAGTAAACTATCCCAAATGTGCTAGAGATAGTAAACTATCCCAAAGGTGCTGCAGATAGTAAACTATCGCAAATACACTACGGATGATAAACTATCCCAAATGTGCTGCAGATAGTAAACTATCCCAAATGCAAGGCAGACAGTAAACTATCCCAAATGCGAGGCAGATAGTAAACTATCCCAAATACAAGGAAGATCATAAACTATCCCAAATACAAGGCAGATTGTAAACTATCCCAAATGCACTGCGAATAGTAAACTACCCCAAATGCACTGTGGATAGTAAACTATCCCAAATGCACTGTGGATGTTAAACTATCCCAAATGCGAGGCAGATAGTAATCTATCCTTAATGTGCCACAAATAGTAAACTATACAAAATGTGCCACAGATAGTAAACTATCCCAAATGTGCTAATGATTGTAAACTATGCCAAATACAGAGCAGATAGTAAACTATCCCAAATGTGGTGCAGATGGTAAACTATCCCAAATGTACTGCAGATACTAAACTATCCCAAATGCGCTACAGATGGTAAACTATCCCAAATGCAAGGCAGATAGTAAACTTTCCCAAATGCGGTGCAGACAGTAAACTATCCCAAATGCAAGGCAGATAGTAAACTATCCCAAATGCGCTACAGATAGTAAACTATCCCAAATATGCTACAGATAGTAAACTATCTTAAATGCGGTGTAGATAGTAAACTATCCCAAATGCAAGGCAGAGAGTAAACTATCCCAAATGCGCTGCACATAGAAAACTATCCCAAATACACTATGGATGGTAAACTATCCCCAATGCGGTGCAGATAGAAAACTATCCCATATGCACTACTAATAGTAACCTATCCCAAATGCGCTGCAGATAGTAAACTATTGCAAATACACTATGGATAGTAAACGATCCCGAAAGCACTGCAAATAGTAAACTCTCGAAAATACACTATGGATAGTAAACTATCCCAAATGTGCTGCAGATAGTAAACTATCCCAAATGCAGTGCAGATAGTAAACTATCCCAAATGCAAGGCAGATAGTAAACTATCCCAAATGCGCTACAGATGGTAAGCTATCCCAAATGTGCTACAGATGGTAAACTATCGCAAATACACTATGGATGGTAAACTGTCCCAAATGTGCTACGGAGAGTAAACTATCCCAAATGTGCTGCAGATAGTAAACTATCGCAAATACACTATGGATGCTGAACTATCCCAAATGCGCTTCAGATAGTAAACTATACCAAATGCAAGGCAGACAGTAAACTATCCCAAATGTGCTGCAGATGGTAAACTATCCCAAATGCGCTACAGATGGTAAACTATTGCAAATACAGTGCAGATAGTAAAATATCCGAAATGGAGTGCAGATGGTAAACTATCCCAAATACGCTGCAGATAGTAAAGTATCCCAAATGTATTGCGGATAGTAAACTATCCCAAATGTGCTGCAGATAGTAAACTATCGCAAATACACTATGGATGGTAAACTATCCCAAATGTGCTGCAGATAGTAAACTATCCCAAATGCACTGCAGATAGTAAACTATCCCAAATACAAGGCAGATGGTAAACTATCCCAACTGCGCTCCAGATAGTAAACTACCTCAATTGTGAGGCAGATAGTAAATGATCCCAAATACAAGGCAGATGGTAAAATATCCCAAATGCACTGCAGATAGCAAACTACCCCAAATGTGCTCTGGATAGTAAACTATCCCAAATGCAAGACAGATAGTAAGCTACCCCAAATGCGAGGCAGATAGTAAACTATCCCAAATACAAGGCAGATGGTAAACTATCCCAAATGCACTGCAGATAGTAAACTACCCAAAATGCGCTGTGGATAGTAAACTATCCCAAAAGCGAGGCAGATAGTAACCTATCCCAAATGTGCCACAAATAGTAAACTATCCCAAATGTGCCACAGATAGTAAACTATCCCAAATGCACTACAGATTGTAAACTATCCCAAAAACAGAGCAGATAGTAAACTATCCCAAATGCACTGTGGATAGTAAACTACCCCAAATGCGCTGTGGATAGCAAACTATGGCAAATGCGAGGCAGATAGTAAACTATGCCAAATGCACTGTGGATGGTAAACTATCCCAAATGCGAGGCAGATAGTAACCTATCCCAAATGTGCCACAAATACTAAACTATCCCAAATGTGCTGCAGATAGTAGACTATCCCAAATGCACTACAGATGGTAAACTATCCCAAATACAGAGCAGATAGTAAACTATCCCAAATGTGGTGCAGATGGTAAACTATCCCAAATGCACTGCAGATGGTAAACTATCCCGAATGCCCTACAGATGATAAACTATCCCAAATACAGTGCAGATACTAAACTATCCGAAATGCGGTGCAGATGGTAAACTATCCCAAATACGCTGCAGATAGTAAACTATCCTAAATGTGCTGCAGATAGTAAACTATCCAAAATGTGCTACAGATAGTGAAATATCCCAAATGTGCTGCAGATACTAAACTATTCCAAATGCGCTGCAGGTAGTAAACTATTGGAAATGCACTACGGATAGTAAACTATCCCAAATGTGGTGCAGATAGTAAACTATCCCAAATGCGCTGCAGATAGTGTACTATCCCAAATGCACTACAGACAGTAAACTATCACAAATGTGCTGCAGATAGTAAACTATTCCAAACGTGATGCAGAGAGTAAACTATCCAAAATGCAAGGCAGAAAGTAAACTATCCCAAATGTGCTACAGATAGAAAACTATCCCAAATGTGCTATGGAGATTAAACTATCCCAAATGTGCTGCAGACAGTAAACTATCACAAATACACTTCAGATTGTAAACTATCCCAAATGTGCTGCAGATAGTAAACTATCCCAAATGCACTATGGATGTTAAACTATCCCAAATGCAAGGCAGATAGTAAACTATCCCAAATGTGCTATGGATAGTAAACTATCCCAAATGCACTACAGATGGTAAGCTATCCCAAATGAACTGCAGATAGTAAACTATCCCAAATGGGCTATGGATAGTAAACTATCCCAAATGCACTACAGATAGTAAACTATCTCAAATCTGCTGCAGATAGCAAACTATCCCAAATGCGCTGCAGATAGTAAACTATCCCACATACAGAGCAGATAGTAAACTATACGAAATGCAGTGCAGATGGTAAACTATCCCAAATACACTGCAGATAGTAAACTATCCCAAATGTGGTGCAGATAGTAAACTATCCCAAATGTGCTACAAATAGTAAACTATCCAAAATGTGCTACAGATAGTAAACTATCCCAAATATGCTGCAGATAGTAAAATATTCCAAATGTGCTGCAGAGAGTAAACTATCCCAAATGTGTTGCAGATAGTAAACTATCCCAAGTGCACTGCAGATAGTAAACTACCAAAATACACTATGGATAGTAAACTATCACAAATGCGCTGTAGATAGTAAACAATCCCAAGTGCACTACAGATAGTAAACTATCAAAATACACTATGGATAGTAAACTATCCAAAATGTGCTACACATAGTAAACTATCCCAAATGTGCTGCAGATAGTAAACTATTCCAAATGTGCTGCAGATTGTAAACTATCCCAAATGTGCTACAGATAGTAAACTATCCCAAATGTGCTGCAGACAGTAAACTATCCCAAATGTGCTACAGATAGTAAACTATCACAAATGCGCTGTAGATAGTAAACTATCGCAAATACACTATGGATTCTAAACTATCCCAAATGCGCTGCAGATAGTAAACTATCACAAATACACTACAGATGGTAAACTATCGCAACTGCCCTGCAGATAGTAAACTATCCCAAATGCAAGGCAGACAGTAACCTATCCCAAATGCGAGGCATATAGTAAACTATCCCAAATACAAGGCAGATGGTAAACTATCCCAAATGCACTGCAGATAGAAAACTATCGCAAATGTGCTATGGAGAGTAAACTATCCCACATGTGCTGCACATAGTAAACTATCACAAATACACTACAGATAGTAAACTATCTGAACTGTGCTGCAGATAGTAAACTATCACAAATACACTACAGATAGTAAAGTATCTCAACTGTGCTGCAGATAGTAAACTATCCCAAATGCGCTGCAGATGGTAAACTGTCCCAAATGTACAGCAGATGGTAAACTATCCCAAATGTGCTATGGATGGTAAACTATCCCAAATGCACTGCAGATGGTAAACTGTCCCAAATGTACTGCTGATGGTAAACTATCCCAAATGCGCTGCAGATGGTAAACTATCCCAAATGTGCTATGGATGGTAAACTATCCCAACTGCAGTGCAGAGAGTAAACTATCCCAAATGCGCTGCAGATAGTAAACTATCCCAAATGCAGTGCAGATACTAAACTATCCCAAATGCAAGGCAGATACGAAACTATCCCAAATGCAAGGCAGATATTAAACTATCCCAAATGCAAGGCAGATAGTAAACTATCCCAAATGCACTGCACATAGTAAACTATCCCAAATATGCTACAGATAGTAAACTATCCAAAATGGGCTACAGATAGTAAACTATCCCCCAACGTGGTGCAGATATTAAATTATCCCAAATGCAGTATGGAGAGTAACCTATCCCAAATGTGCTGCAGAAAGTAAACTATTGCAACTACACTATGAAGAGTAAACTATCCCAAATACACTGCAGATAGTAAACTATCCGAAATGCAAGGCAGGCAGTAAACAATCCCAAATGCGCTGCAGACGGTAAACTATTCCAAATGCAAGGCAGATAGTAAACTAACCCAAACACACTGCAAATAGTAAACTATTGCAAATACACTATGGATAGTAAAGTATCCCAAATGTGCTGCAGATAGTAAACTATCACAAATACACTATGGTTAGTATACTCTCCCAAATGTGCTGCAGATAGTATACTATCCCAAATGCACTACAGACAGTAAACTATCCCAAATATGCTACAGATAGTAAACTATCCCAAATGTGATGCAGATAGTAAACTATCCCAAATGCAAGGCAGATAGTAAACTATCCCTAATGTGTTACAGATAGTAAACTATACAAAATGTGCTACAGATAGTAAACTATCCCAAATGTGCTGAAGATAGTAAACTATTCCAAATGTGCCACAGATAGTAAACTATCCCAAATGCGCTGCTGATGGTAAACTATCCCAAATGCGCTGCAGATAGTAAACTATCCCAAATGCAATGCAGATAGTAAACTATCCCAAATGCGCTGCAGATCGTAAACTCTCGCAAATACACTACGGATGGTAAACTATCCCAAATGAGCTGCAGATAGTAAACTATCCCAAATGCGCTGCAGATAGTAAACTATCCCAAATGCACTGCAGATAGTAAACTATCCCAGATGTGCTACAGATAGTAAACTATTGCAAATACACTACGGATGGTAAACTATCACAAATGCACTACAGATGGTAAACTATCCCAAATGCGCTGCAGATCGTAAACTCTCGCAAATACACTACGGATGGTAAACTATCCCAAATGCGCTGCAGATAGTAAACTATCCCAAATGCGCTGCAGATGGTAAACTATCCCAAATGAGCTGCAGATAGTAGATGGTAAACTATCACAAATACACTATGGATCGTGAACTATTCCAAATGCTTTGCAGATGTCTCCAAAAATAAATGAATAAATAAATAAATAAATAAATAAATAAATAAATAAATAAATAAATGGTACTGGAGACCCTACAAATTGGTTGCATCTTTCCGGATAATAATCTGGCAAGGTAATAGCAAGAGCCGAGACCTCACCTTGATTGAATCATTCTACCTACGGATACAGAAGCACACCCTGAATAAATAAACCCAAAGGGATAAAGGAGCTATGGATGCAAAAATAATCATATTGGTGTTATTAATACTAATGAATTAGAACTACTGCAAATATTCAACCTGATGCAAATTGGAAAGCAAATTAGGATGCACTCACATAATAAATACAGTATTATAATTAAAACTCACAGGCCAGGCACAGTGGCTCACACCTGTAATCCTGGCACTTTGGGAGGTCAAGATGGGAGGATCACCTGAGATCAGGGGTTCAAGACTAGCCTGGCCAACATGGTGAAACCCCATCTCTACTAAAAATACAACAATTAGCCAGGCATGGTGGCGGGCACCTGTAAATCCAGCTACTTGGGAGGCTGAGGCAGGAGAATTGCTTGAACCGGGGAGGCAGAGGTTGCGGTGAACCAAGATCGCACCATTGTACTCCAGCCTGGGCAACAGAGCAAGACTGCATCTCAGAAACAAACAAACAGACAAAAAACCTCATAAACATGAGGACTGTATTCACACAACAATTTCTGAGTATGAAATGATATTAAAGAAAAAAGGTAGCTGAAAAGTATTCACACTGGTTACACAACATGAAAACTTGAGAAGAGTCAAAAGGGAACAGAAGGCCGGGTGCGGTGGCTCACGCCTGTAATCCCAGCACTTTGGGAGGCCGAGGCGGGTGGATCACGAGTTCAGGAGTTCGAGACCAGCCTGGTCAACATAATGAAACCCTGTCTCTACTAAAAATACAAAAATTAGCTGGGCATGGTGGCAGGGACCTGTAATCCTAGCTGCTTGAGAAGTTGAGACAGGAGAATCGCTTGAACCCAGGAGGCAGAGTTTGCAGTGGGCCAAGATCACGCCACTGCACTCCAGCCTGGGCTACAGAGTGAGACTCCGTCTCAAAAAAAAAGTAAAAAAAAAAAGGAACAGAAACAGAGACATTTACTCTTTAAGGGGTTTTCCTCTGGAAAAGTTGTGTCCATTCATAAGAAATGTGTTTACTAAATAAAATTAAAAGGCAAGGAGGCGAAGGTGTTCTCCTCCTTACAGTTGTTCATATGCTGGCGTGGGTGAAGGACCTCGTTCCCTTTCCTTTCTGAGTTTCTGTCCTATGGATATTCTCACATCAAGGAGAAGATGGAAGGAGGCTTTCTGAGGTCTCTCACCTTGGTGGCACTGCCCTCTGCTCTGCTGCCCAACAGGCTGGTCTGCAGA
Source organism: Homo sapiens (assembly GCF_000001405.40). Lineage (NCBI taxonomy): Eukaryota > Metazoa > Chordata > Mammalia > Primates > Hominidae > Homo > Homo sapiens. Next base: position 197,382,600 of record NC_000003.12, on the reverse strand, counting down.
AAACCCTTGGCTTCCTTTTACTTCTCCTAATCCATTTTTCAAAAATCAACCAAAGCACTATTGGAAAACTGGAGAATGCAGGCAGCAATTGGTAGTTGAGATGGTACAAACTGGGGGTCAGAGGGTCATGGTTCTAGGCATCACCACCTTGCTGGCAGCCTTGGGCAGGTCACTTCCAGACTTTGAGCACGTCTGGCCCTCAGTTTCTCCATCTGTAATGTGGCAATATTGGGACAGTTGATTTCAAAAGTTCTTGAAATTCTGACTTTGTATGGCTCTATCTTTCTTGATCCAGGACTAGGGAAAGAACCCTGGAATGGAATTCTTATCACTCTGAGGCTAAGAATCAGTTCCACCATCCAAAGTCCATGAGGCCAGGGCAGTGCTGCAGCTAGTTTGCAGGTGAAAGGGTCCCTCAAGGGCTGAATAGAGGAAGAAAAAGAAACATTCTGGCCAGGCGCAGTGGCTCACGCCTGTAATCCCAGCACTTTGGGAGGCTGAGGCAGGCAGATCACCTGAGGTCAGGAGTTTGAAACCAGCCTGACCAACATGGAGAAACCCCATCTCTACTAAAAATACAAAATTAGCCGGGCGTGGTGGCGCATGCCTGTAATCCCAGCTACTCGGGAGGCTGAGGCAGGAGAATCGCTTGAACCCGGATCGCGCCATTGCACTCCAGCCTGGGCAACAGTAGTGAAACTCTGTCTCAAAAAAAAAAAAAAAAAAAAAAGGAAAACGAAACATTCTGCATATTTTGTGCCCTCATTATCAAATAAATAAGTAACAATTCAGTGTTTCTTGAAAGGGTTAAGAGCCGGAACTTTCCAGCAGAAAGCAGATCTCCTTCAGAAGAAGACTCCTGAGACTCTTGCTTGACTTCAAGTTTCCCGAGTGAGACACTGTGAAGAGCTCTGAAACAGTCACAGAAGCTACAATGATCAGGCTCCTGTGTGAAAACAGTTCATCTCCATCACAACCGTGCAGGGAACCATGCAGGCTGAACAGGAGTATTGGCACAGAAGCTGCAGCCAACTGTAGAAAGAGCATTTCAAGCAAGTCAGAAATTCTCCCAGGTGTGTTGTAATCAGGAAGAAAAATAGAGGCAAGAGAAAAATAGACCCTGTCAGAAACAGTGTCTGGCAACACTGCCAGAAAGGGCTCTTCCTGCCATTTCAGCCCTTAAATGTAGTGAGCACATCTCTCTTTGTTCAGTAAAAAGTGGATGATGAGGGAAGGACAAAGAGCTTGGATGAGAGGAAGGATTTTGTCGGCTTTTGGCAGAGATAGTGAATGGTCTCTTGGCTGCTTCCGTGGCCAGGCTATTATAAAAAAGTAGGTAAAGATTTTCTCATGAAGAATGATTGAATAGGAATATGGTGGGGCAGGAGTATCCTGTCTACAGCAAAGATCTTATGGGGACAATGGCCAAAGCATCTTTTATGTGGGCCTGTATGAGTAACACATCATTCCAAAACATAGCGACTTACAACAACAGTCATTTATTTAGCTTTCAGTTCTGTGGGCTGGCTGGGCAGGTCTCCTGGTCTGGGCCAGCTTGGCTGAGTGCTGCTGGGCTCTCATGCACCTGCAGTCAGCTGGCAGGTCGGCTGGCAGTTGAATGATTGAGGATGGCCCCGTTCACATGTCTGGCCGCTAGCAGGCTGTTAGCAAGAGTTATGGGCTGGCCAGTCACATGTCTCTCATCAACCAGCACAGGCTAGCACAGGTTTGTTCATGCAGCAGCAGATTCCCAAGAGCAGCAAGGGAGGAAGCGTCAAAGCCCCTTGAGGCCTAGGCTGGGAACCTGTACACTGTCATTTCTAATGCACTCTGTTGATCAAGGAAGGTACAGGCCAGCTGGGTGATCAACTATCCCGGTTTTCCCAGAACGGAGGGGTTTCCCAAGATGCAAAACTTTCAATACAAAAACTGATAAAGCTCTGGACAAACCACGATGGTTGGTCACTCTAGTGGCTCACACTCCCCAAGGAGTGGGGAACTTATAAACCTCCCAAGAAGATATATAGATGGCCACTAGCACATGAAAATCTCAACATCACTAATTGTTAGGGAAATGCAAACCAAAACCACAAGATACCACTTCACACTCACCAGGATAGCTATTATAAACAACAGGCTGGGCGCGATGGCTCACGCCTGTAATCCCAGCACTTTGGGAGGCCGAGGCGGGCAGATCACAAGGTCAGGAGTTCGAGACCCGTCTGACCAACATGGTGAAATCCCGTCTCTACTAAAAATACAAAAATTAGCCGGGCATGGTGGCGCGCACCTGTAATCCCAGCTACTCAGGAGGCTGAGGCAGAAGAATTGCTTGAACCCAGGAGGTGGAGGTTGCAGTGAGCCGAGATCACACCACTGCACTCCAGCCTGGGTGACAGAGCGAGACTCTGTCTCAGAAAAAAATAAAACTCAAATAAAAAATAAACAACAACAACAAACAGAAAATAAGTGTTGGCAGGGATATGGAAAACTTGGAATGCTTATTGGTGGGAAATGTCACATGGTGCAGCTGCTGTGGAAAATGGTGAATCCTCAAAAGATTCAACATAGGATCACCATATGATCCAGCAATTCGAGTTCTGGATGTGTACCCCAGGGACTGAAGGCAGGGACTCAGGGATTCGACATACACATTCACGGCAGCATTATTCACTGTCGCCAAAAGGTGGATGCCATCAACATGTCCATCGACAGATAAATAGATAAACAGAAGGTGTTGTATACAAACAGCAGAATATTATTCAGCCTTAAAAAGGAAAGAAATTCTACTACATGTTAAAACATAGGTGGACCTTGAAGGTATTACACTAAGTGAAATAGGCCAGACACCAAAGGACAAATATTGTATTATTCCATTTCTTTAGGACTCTGAATTGTTTTCGTTCTATTTTTCCAGCCAGTTCCAAAGTCTTACCACACATCCTCACCACCTCATTCACTCATCGACATGGTCTTTCTCTTTTTTTTTTTTTTTTTGAGGTGGAGTTCTGCTCTGTCATCCAGGCTGGAGGGCAGTGGCGCGATCTCGGCTCACAGCAACCTCTGCCTCCCGGGTTCAAGCAGTTCTCCTGCCTTGCAGGAGGGGGAAGTGGAGAGGCTGTTTAATGTGTGCAGGCTTTCAGTTTCACAAGATGAGAAAGTTCTGGAGATGGATGGTGGTGACGATGGTACAACAGTGTGAACATACTAAATACCACGAAACGGTACGTGCTGAAATGGTTAAGATGGTAAATGTTATGGTACGTATATCTTATCACAATTTAAAAAAAAAGGAGTGGGGAAATAGGCTCCCCTATTGATGAGACGAGGTGAAACTCTTGTGGCTATTTTTGCCATCTGCCACGGGCAAAACAGGGATTTAATGAAATAAAGCCAAGCTGTTGCTGTGGCACAGAGAACCTGAGTAAGTGCGCTCGGAGCCGGCAGGCGGCATCCAGATACTGATCATTTTGATACTCTTTCCTTTGGGAGCCAGTCACTATTATTACCGGCTCATAAGCCATTATTGGAGAGCTTACAATGATTCAGTCAGGTGGGAAAAAGAGGAATTAAAGAAGGACTGTGGACGGGGCGCGGAGGCTCACGCCTGTAATCCCAGCACTTTGGGAGGCCGAGGAGGGTGGATCACGAGGTCAGGAGTTCCAGACCAGCCTGGCCAAGATGGTGAAACCTCGTCTCTACTAAAAATACAAAAATTAGCCGGGCATGGTAGCGGGTGCCTGTAATCCCAGCTACTCGGGAGGCTGAGGCAGGAGAATTGCTTGAACCCGGGAGGCAGAGGTTGCTGTGAGCCGAGATTGCGTCACTGCACTCCAGCCTGGGTGACAGAGCAGAACTCCATCTCAAAAAAAAAAAAAAAAAAAAAAAAAAAGAGAAGGACCATGTCAATGACTGAATGAGGTGGTGAGGATGTGTGGTAAGACTTTGGAACTGGCTGGAAAAATAGAACGAAAACAACTCAAGAGTCCTGAAGAAATTACTGAAATGAACAGAGGAACCCCAGCACCTTTCCCTGCCTTCCCTACGCTCCGGCACGGGGCTGGGCTCAGAGCCGGCGCCAATAAATAACAGGCCCGAGAGGCAGCGACAGAGCCTGGCTCACAGCGACCTGGCTCCGTGCTGCGTCCGCCTCCAGGCCCTCTCTGTTTGCTGTTCATGCGATTCTGTGTTTATGGAAAACTCTGAGTGTGCTTGAATGTCTAATTCAGCGACAGGAGGAGCAGACGGCAGGGAGGAGTGAGGAGTCATCGGAAAGTGTGGATAGCAAGGCTGGGGTAAAGGCAGAGAGCTGCTGAAGGAAACCATGAAGCAGATGACCATGGAAAAGCACCAGCCTCCCAGAATGCTGCAACTGCAAGGGGCTCAGAGAACACGTCATCGCCTCCTCCCACTAGGACGATGAGGAGAATGAGCCAGGAAGCTTCGGGGACTTGCTTATGGCCACCCAGGAAGCAGGAAGTGCGGAGCTGCTACTCGGGACATGGTTTTCTCACTTCTGAGTTGATGCTCTGTCCTCTATATCCAATGATTTCCTTTTTTTTTTTTTTTTTAAGACGGAGTCTCGCTCTGTCACCCAGGCTGGAGTGCAGTGGCGCAATCTCAGCTCACTGCAACTTCCACCTCCTGGGTTGAAGTGATTCTCCTGCCTCAGCCTCCTGAGTAGCTGGGATTACAGGCATGTGCCACCACGCTTAGCCAATTTTTGTGTTTTTAGTACAGACAGGGTTTCCCCATGTTGGCCAGGCTGGATTTGAACTCCTGACCTCAAGTGATCCGTCTGCCTTGGCCTCCCAAAGTGCTGGGATTACAGGCGTAAGCCACCATGCCTGGCCTATATCCAATGACTTCTGAGTCTCTATTGCATCTTCTCCACACTAGTCACTGGAAGAGGGGGTGGTAAAGTCCCACCCAAACATGTCTCCTTTTCCCCCGATTTGATGCTGCAGGTGAAACCATGCCCTCTGGTACACAGGAGCAAGTCTTCCAGCTCTCCTCGCCCTAGAAAGTCTAGCACAGGGGGTGCACCTGTTCTCTTATCAGCTGCTTAATTAAGGGGTTCCATTGTATTTCCCAGTCAATTTTCCCACTCAGTTCCCCAGGAGAAGTTATTTTTAAGTGTTACTGGAATTACAGTACTAACCAAGTCTTTCTTCTCGGATCAGTGATTAAGACTTAACCTGCTCTGGGTGTGTCACTTAACACTTCAAGGTCGTAGGTGGGCATAGCTCATCTCAGGGAAGCTGAGGTGCCTGGGACTGAGTAGGACTGGATGCCATAATGCTCCCCGTTTTACTGGAGAGAAAAACTTCTTGGAAGAGCCCCAGTTGGGAAGCATTTGGCAAGTTGATTTATTGATCCAATTGCGTTTTCCAGCTGGATAGGCTTCAATAACTGGGAAAAGCTAGTAATGAGCCCACAGCATTTGGCACCATTCAGGACTCATTGTGGAGCTCTAGGAATCCTGGGATGGGGATCTAGACACGTTGATTAAGGGCCTGCTATGAGTAAGTTACTGGGAGACCAAGTTGACGAGATGATGGCTCAGGAGACACGAAGTGCTTAGTGTCTAATACCCAACGAGCAAGGGTTGGAGCTGAAAGCAAACAGAATCTGGAAATGCCAGCCTGACCCCCAGTACTCTGCCCCTGACATGCCTGCCTGTCAGGGCAGTGCCAGAAAAGCCTCTCAGGAGGTTGGGTCAGGGCAAGGCAGGAGGGACAAGCCAAGAGGCTGGGAGCTAAGGCAGTGGGCTGGAGGGTAGAGAGGCACGGAGAGGGGGAAGCCCATGGAGGCCAAGCGTAAGTGGGGTGGGATGCTATATTAGTTAGGATACAGGCTCAGCTACATGGCACAGAGACCCAGAGTAACTGTGGTTTTAAAAAGATAGACGTGGGCCAGGTGCGGTGGCTCATGTCTGTAATCCCAGTACTTTGGGAGGCCAAGGCGGGTGGATCACAAGTTCAGGAGTTCGAGACTAGCCTGACCAATATGGTGAAACTCCATCTCTACTTAAAATACAAAAATTAGCCGGGCGTGGTGGCAGGCACCTGTAGTCCCAGCTACTTGGGAGGCTGAGGCAGGAGAATCACTTGAACCCGGGAGGCAGAGGTTGCAGTGAGCTGAGATCGTGCCATTGCACTCCAGCCTGGGCAACAGAGCAAGACTCCATCTCAAAAAAAAAAAAAAAAAGACATGTATTTATTAAGTGAAGTCTGATAAAATGACCCTGCTCAGTGAAGTCATTGGAGGCTCAAGCTTCTTTTCTCTTCTTGTTCTGGCATGTCTAGATTGTCGCCCTCATGTGCATTGTTCAGCATAACTCACCACCACATCCGCATTCCACCCGTGGACAGGCAGAAGGGAACCAGGTTGGACAGGCCCCTTCCCCATGCGGGCACCTCACATCCTGTTGGCCAGAACTTGGTCACATGGCCACACCTAGCTGGGAAGCCTGGGAATCCTATTTATTTTGGGTGACCATGTGCTCTGCTAAAATGTCTACTGCTATGGAAAAAGGGAAGAATGGATGTTGGGGGACACCAAGCAGTAGGCCACAGACATAGACTAGCTGGAAGCGGGACAAAATAGGGTCCACATGAGGCAAGTCCCAATACCAAGTGTAACACTCCTCTGTGAACCCTGTCAGGATGGTGGAGCTTGCAAATGATGGCTTTGCTCAGACAGAAGAGAGAAACACAGAGAAGAGAGAGATTACACTCATCGAAAGAACTCAGGAAGGCATCATGTAGGCATGCATTTGGGGCTTTTGTTTTTGTTTGAGACAGGGTCTTGCTCTGTTGTCCTGGTTGGAGTGCAGTGGTCCAATCTTGGCTCACTGCAGCCTTGGCCTCCCAGGCTCCTATTATCCTGGATTCCATTCCTGCCACAATCTTGACACAACTGACCTGTCTTCTTGGTGTGCCCTTCCTCTTTAGCTGTTGTCAGAATCCCGCCTCTACTTCAGGCCCTGGTTCAAATGCATTTGCAGGTGTTTAAATGCGGGGAGAGATGAGGATATACTTCCCCTGCTCTCTCATGGGCCAACACAACAGTGCTCTGATGCTGAGATAAGCAAAGGAAAAGAACACAGGGTAAGATGAAGCTTGGGGCTCTAGACTGAGTTTATGCCTTCCCAGAAAGAGCTGAATCTCACAGGTTTTACATAAGCAGGTGATGTTTCCCGCTGTGCTCCAAACAGGCTACAATCCTTGCCTTCTCCTCTCATTTATTTGTGGGTGAGATGGCTGTGCCCTCTAAGTTCCCACAGACACATCCTCCCTGTCTCCCTGAGCCCAGATGCTTAACACGGGGCTTTAACCCGATGCTCTCATTCCCCGTAGGCATCTCTGTGGGGATGGGGAGAGAGGATGGGAGCCAGGCTGGCATCGTTACGCATATGTAATAGAGCCGGAAGAGTTGTGAAACCCAGGAGGTTCTGCTAAGCTGTTCCACAGTCAATAGTTGCAATAAAAATAAACTGATTCTGCTATTCGACAACAATGAGCGATACCCCAGGGTTGCCAGCGCTGGAAGTACTCATATGTCTCTGGGCACGCTGCTGTGGGTGCAGTCCAGCCCACGCAGCATGTACACAGACTTACCTCCCGCATGTTTTCAGCTGATGAATCTGTGGCACTGCAGCCAGGTATAGAGAAATATAAAGTCCCACATCTGAGTCAACAAAATAAAACGAAACAATAATCACCAACATAAGGGAAGCAGAGTTTGAGTGCAGCTGGTGTAACTAAAAGATTGAAAGGTTTTTGTGGACTTCACATTTAATATGAGTCAATGGTATAGAGTTAGTATGAACTTGCTGATGTAGTTCTTAACTGTATTCAAACCAGTAGTGTTTTACTGGCCAGAACGCTACTGATGCTACTGGCTTGAATACAGGTAAGGACTACATTAGCAAGTTCAAACGTTACTATGATCTGAAACAGAATCCTGCTTCGGATCATAGTAACATATAAAGAACATGCAGATAGGCTGGGTGTGGTGGCTCACGCCTGTAATCCCAGCACTTTGGGAGGCTGAGGCAAGTGGATCACTTGAGGTCAAGAGTTCAAGACCAGCCTGGCCAACATAGTGAAACACCATCTGTACTAAAGATAGAAAAATACAGGCATCATGGTGGGCGCCTGTAATCCCAGCTTCTCGGGAGAATGAGGCAGGAGAATTGCTTGAACCCGGGAGGCAGAGGCTGCAGTGAGACAAGATCATGCCACTGCATTCCAGCCTGGGCGAATGAGTGAGACTCTGTCTGAAAAAAAAAAAGTGCATGCATGCAGATAAAAAGACTCAAGGATGCTACAAGAACTCAAAATTATGGAGGTAAATTCAGAGAACTGAAACCCTGCAGCCTGGAGGAGACCCAGAAGGCCATAACGATCACCTTTACATACCCGAAGGGTTGTCATGGGGATAAGAGACCAATGCATTCACGTGGGCCCAAGAAGGAAGTTACAGCCTGGCCAATTTTGTCTCAAAATGGAATTGTCTTAAAAAGTAATGCTGTTTCTCATGAGACAGTGAATTCTCCCTTACTAGAATTTGAAAAGGAGGCTGGGTGAATCTGTGGGTGAGACGCAGTCACAGAAATTCACATGTTGGAGAATGACAGGGCTAAGTGACCTCTTGAGTTGCTTTCAACTTTGAGGCTTTATGAGTCCATGCATCTTTTTCTAATGAAACTTTCTGAAATAATTGTAGATGAATCCGCAGTAGTACTAAATAACCCAGAGGGATCCTTTGTATTCTTTACCCAGTTTCCCTGCATGGTAAAACTTAGAGACTAATACAGACTCATAGCCAGGATACTGACCACTTCCTCATGGTCTCATTCTTCTTCTGCCTCAATAGTCTCTGCCCTTGAGGAGCTACCAGTCTAAAGGAGGAAAAACACAGGCACAATAAAAAATCGTGCTAGTTGAGCGTCAGCCAGCTGAGTGGGACCAACCAAATGCTACTGATGACCAGAAGACAGAGAGATCATGTCTGCCCGGAAATACGAGGAGAGGCTTTCCAGGGGAAGTAGGTGGACTCTGAAGGACAAATAGGAACTCTACCGACAGTGATAAGCGTACTTAGTTAAGGACCTGTGGTTGTCCGGCTCATTATTCATTAAGAGCTAGAAAAAAGATACGTTTCCTTGTGAATGGCTTTCTCTTGTTACAGATTTTTTTTTTTTTTTTGAGTCAGGGTTTCACTCTGTCACCCAGGCTGGAGTGCAATGGTGCAATCACAGCTCCCTACAGCCTCGACCCCAACCCGACCCCACATTCAGGTGATGCTGCCACCTCGGCCTCCTGAGTAGCTGGGGCTACAGGCACGTGCCACCACACTTGGCTAATTTTAAAAAAGCTTTTTTTTTTTACAGATGGGATTTCGTCATGTTGCCCAGGCTGGTCTTAAACTCCTGGGCTAAAGCGATTCTCCTGCCTCAGCCTCCTCAAGTGCTGGGATTACAGGTGTGAGCCACTGCGCCCAGCCTCTTATTACAGATCTAATACATAACCCGAAAGTGTCAAAGAAGCGAAGCTCAGAGAACCATTGGCAGCCTCTGGGCCATGCTTCATCCAGTTCCTACGCATCCCTAGGGCCTGTGTATAGTAGGTGTTTAGCATCTGCTGAGTGAATGCATGAGCAGAGAAATGAATGAACAGGTTACTGCCCCTGTTGTCCCAGTTCTGCTCTCCCACCCCAAAAGAAGAAGAGCGTACAATAACACGGAAAGCAATGGCATTGCTTTTGATTGCCTAAAACCCTGGTGGGTTTCTAGTGTTTCTGCAGAGCATGTGACGCTGATTAAGGCTGAGCTCACAGGTGCCCCAAACATCCCCGACCCAGGCCAGTTAATTTTGCTGTCCTCTGTGGCTACAGGTTCTACACTCTATCCAAGGTGTAACTGTTCAAAGAAATCTCAGAATCCACAGTTGCTGACCTTTTCCTGAAATGTGTTGCTAATCGAGCCCGCAGAGCAAGTTTCTGTGCCTAGTTACCTTTGCCATTGCCTAACCTCCCTCACCTCTGGGTTTGCGGTGTGAGAAAGGAATGTGTTTCCTAGAAGCAAAGAATGGCAGAGCCTAGGGGTTTGGGGAGGGAGGACTTCAAAATATGGAAACCATCTGGTTCCACTCCCTTCTTTTACAGACTAGAAAATGAAGGCCAGGAAGGGGCATGTCCTGCCCAGTGTCATCTCGGGAGCCACTGGGAACAGAGTCCAGAGCTCCAGCCTCCTGGCCTGTCTTTTGATGCTCACTCTGAGGCATTCAGCTGTTTCCTCCTTCAAGAAAAGCCAGCCCCTCCCGAACCTCTTACTGACAGCTGTGTGCCAAGAGTTTCTAATTCTTATGACAACACAGCATAGGAATTGGGCGTGTTTGGTTTTCTTATGTACAGAAGCATAAAAAAGATCAAAGCACTTACAGTTTGATGATGTTCCTAAATGCAAGTTCAAATTGCTGAGTTAAACAGCCAGCAATTCTTTTAGAGCCTTTCCGGAGCAATTACTCAAGATGGAATTAAACTGTATTTGCCTTTGATTCCTTCTCATCCCTCCCTCTGCCTGAAAGGGGGAGAAGCAGGACCCAACAAAGAAAATCTTGAGAGACAGTTGTTAATTGCAGATTTTTACCTGCCTGATGTTCTTTGGCTTTGCACATTAATTAAATCAAGACCAGGTGTCTTGCAGATGGGTTAGCTGCTGGCTATGGTATGAGATTAATAGATCCCAGCAAATGGGTAAGGGAAAAAGCTCTTGAGTTTTATGGGTCATTGATGCTGCTTCTCTCAGCAGAAATTACCGCAGAGAGAGAAAGAACTCCTTGAGCTTAAGTGGCCTAGTTCATTAGAGAGCTTCCACAGCTGCTCACATGTTAATCACCTCCAGAGCCCAGAGAACAGGCAGATCCCCTCTACAGTAGACCTGAATAAGCCATCAGATCTGAAGGAAGTCAGACCTCAAATGATTGATTATTCTAAAGGAAATTGCTTCAGGATTTGAAGGTTTGTGACCTGGGCCAGAGGCTGCCGACAGGACCCTAAGCAGCAGCTGGGAGTCAGTGGCGTGACCAGATGCTAGTCCCCTGTCTACCAACCCTTCCTCTGCGATAACTTTCCTACCACTGCCAAAGCTGAGAAAGGGGTGATAGAAACAGAACCAGGCTTTTCTTGAGACAGAGTTTTGCTCTTGTTGCCCAGGCTGGAGTGCAATGGCGTGATCTCACCTCACTGCAACCTCCACCTCCTAGGTTCAAGCGATTCTCCTACATCAGCCTCCTGAGTAGCTGGGATTACAGGCATGCACCACCACGCCCAGCTAATTTTTTGTATTTTTAGTAGAGAAGGGGTTTCTCCATGTTGGTCAGGCTGGTCTCAAACTCCCGACCTCAGGTGATCCACCCACCTCAGCCTCCCAAAGTGCTGGGATTACAGGCATGAGCCACGTGCCCGGCCAAAACCAGGCTTTAGAAGGTGCTCTGGCAGTTTAGAACACAGTTCTGCTCCTACAGGCCAGGGCCCTCGCTCTTATCCCAATAAGAAGGACTTTGTATTCGAACACGGAGTGATGCCCCCATCCCAGCTCTCTCGTGGCTTAGGGTGTCCAATTCCATTGGCAAGGCCAGGTCAGGTTTCTGTCTGGGGGATCCAGGGTCAGTACTGAGGCCAGGATGAAGCAAGGGTAGGGGGACGCTGGGGCAGAGGGAAACAAAGGTCACTTCTTATTTACAAAGGACACATTTGTTCTAGCGTGTCAAGCCCTGGGCTTATGCACAGTACTGGACCATTCACTGGAGCCCTGAGCTCACACTAACAAACTGAGCGGTTCCAAATGCTTCTCAAAGGTCTGCCTTCCATGGTGACAATTCTGATTCACCATGGCTGGGATGGATTTCTGGGTGAGACAGATGATGAGCAACCAGGAGCCATGCAAGGCCCCCCGAGTCTCACCCACATGCTATTTGGAGGCAGGCACACACACTTTTTCTTTGAGACTGCAACAGACCGTGAACACACATTGGTTTGTGTAACTTGAATTCCTTTCTAAAGAACCCTGGACCTAGTCCACCCTCCCCTACAGTCAGTAAACCAAAATGTCATGGCTTTGGAGAGCTGGTAGAAATGACGAAGCTGCATCTGGCAGCTAATAGTCATGTCATGTCGTTCTCATCCCAGAAACCAGCAAAGTGGTTAAGGTAGTAATTTAATCTGCTCATTTTTTGGTTTTCTGCCAACTCTTTTCCCAAACCGATTCCCCAGCTGGTCCCTTGGCCCCATGAAACTTTCATCTGTGCTCTTCAGATGGCTTCCAAAGTAGAGGGACTCATAGCTGGGGTTACTTCTAAAAACTGGGCCCAGGGGCCAGGCACGGTGGCTCCTTTAACACTAGTGCTTTGGGAGGCCAAGGCGGGCAGATGGCTTGAGCCCAGGAGTTTGAGACCAGCCTGGGCAACATGGTGAAACCCCATCTCTACAAAAAATAAAAAATTAGCAGGGCACAGTGGTGCCAGCTACTCAGAGGCTGAGGTGGGTGGGAGGATCACTTGAGCCTAGGAGGTCAAGGTTGCAGGGAGCTGTGATCATGCCACTGCACTTCAGCTTGTGCGACAGAGTGAGATCCTGTCAGAAAGAAAGAAAAAGGAAGGGAAGGATGGATGGGGAAAGGGGAGGGGAAGGGAAGCGGGGAGAGAAGGGGGAGGGGGGTGGGAAGGGAAGGGAAGGGAAGGGAAGGGAAGGGAAGGGAAGGGAAGGGAAGGGAAGGGAAGGGAAGGGAAGGGAAGGGAAAGGAAAAGAAGAAAAAGAAAAATTGGGCCCAGGGAAGGGACCTACCTGGAGAGGAGAGTGGAGCAGGGCCAGGGCTGGACGAGGCAGTGAGGCATCTAACCTCAATAGGTAAGGAGGTGATCTCAAGGTCCCATGACCACAGCACTTACATGACCTTGACAGTAAGTGCATCTGTCAATTTTGCATCCTAGGTGCCTCACTTGCCTCACCCTCATGTTTGCCCTGGTGTGGAGGATATTTCTTTTTTTTTTTTTTTTTTTTTTTTGAGATGGAGTCTCGCTCTGTCACCCAGGCTGGAGTGCAGTGGCACGATCTCGGCTCACTGCAAGCTCCACCTCCTGGGTTCACGCCATTCTCCCACCTCAGTCTCCCCAGTAGCTGGGGCTACAGGCGCCCATCACCATGCCCAGCTAATTTTGCTTTTGTGTTTTTAGTAGAGACAGGGTTTCACCGTGTTAGCCAGGATGGTCTCAATTTCCTGACTAGTGATCCACCTGCCTCGGCCTCCCAAAGTGCTGGGATTACAGGCGTGAGCCACTACACCCAGCCGGTTTGGAGGATATTTCTATTCCTGAAGGAAGTAGTTCACTTCACTGGTGTGTAAGCCCTGGGTAGCTTTCTAAAAAGATACCAGTGCCAGGCCAATTCCATCCAAACCTTTAGGCATGGAGCCTGGGCATCTGGGACTCATCCACAGGGGAGTCAACTGTGCAGCTGGGTTTACCAGCTTCTAGCCCAAGGGCTTGCTCTGGGCCACAGGTAATAGATGGATGTTCTGCTGCCGTCTGGCCAGGGCTCAGTTGTCTCTGACTTGTCTCCTTCAGGATTTTCTCTGTGCCCCACAGGTCCCGAGGTCTGGCTGAACTTCCATACAGACTTACTCAGGCCGTCTGCTCTTGGCTACAATACCAGGCACAAACCTCTCCCCCAACTCCCAAGATACCAGCCGGGCTGTCAGCTAAGTTCCATATCAGCCTCTAGAGTATGCAGAGACTTCCCATGGTATATGCTGCATTTTCTTTGATGTGGCCACAGATACCCCCAAATACCTTGGCAAATAGACCAAATATCCTTTGCAAATAATACCCCAAATACCCGAGAACAGAGTGCTCCCCTCAACTTATTGAACACATCTCCTCCCAGACTGGAACCCAGGAAGACCCGTGCTCATCTGAATGCCCACCTCCCCCTTTCCCACCATCCTTGGAAATAAAAGAGCTGCCTCCCCCTCCCCCTTCCTGCCTTGCAGGGATCTCCCATACACAAAACTCTGTGATCTAATCCTCCAGGCTTCTAGAAAATCCCCTCTCCTTAGCACTTGGCTTTTGAGCCTATTGTCATGTTTGGGATTCACGAAAATTTAATTCGACAGTGAAACCTCAGCAATGGCAGATTTGAGCTCCTTCCCTGAAGCATTGAAACCCCCTGAATGGGAAGCCCCAGAGCAACAAGATGTATAGGAGAGAGAAACCCTCCTGAAGAAGAGAAACCCTCCTGAAACTCTTTCGAACATCATCTCCATGCCACACATTTTGTGCCAAAGCTCAGCATTGTACACAGAGCCTTGGAACACACGTGCTCCATTCTGGGTCTCTACTCATCACTCTCTCAGCATTTGGAGAGCAAGGTAAAAGGGAGGCATTTTTATTCCCATCTCTTTTTTGTACAATGAGACAGAGGAGAGAACTAAGTGACGACCAGGGGCCGTCAGAGGGCAGGCGGTGGAGTGAAGGAGACAGAAAGGGAGAGAATGAGGGTTCAGAAGTGGACCTGGAGTTTCTGTTTATGTATTCAACTTATTAGGCTCTTGAGCAGGTCCCATACATTTTATTGGGAAAATTGAAGTCTTTGGCCCAGTTATGAAAAGCTGAAAAATGCACAACCCGTCTCTTTCTAGACCGGGGTGCACAGTCTGGACTGGCCTCATGCATATTGATTTACCTGACTCTCCCCCCCACCCGCCCCCACCCACCCCCACCCAGGCTTCATCTCTCTGTCAGTCTCTCTGCAAACACTCCCTTTGCAGGTTGGTGAGGCTCACTTCTCCCTCTCCAGGGAACTCATCCTGCGTCTCACTCCTCTCTCTTGCCCTGCTCCGCTCTCCTACCCTCCTGTCTGTGGCCCAGCAGGGCTTCGTGCCAGCCCACAGGCCCTACTTCTGTAGCTGTGCAAACACTGCTAAGCCCTCCAGGCTCCCAGGAGCTGGGCCTGCCCTCCACAGGAGATTAAGAGCCACAGTGAGTCAGTAGCCCAGCTGGGCCTCTGTCAGCTGGGGCATCCCTCATCTCCTCTCCCCTCTGGACCCCTTCTCCCCATTCTGCCAGCCCTTAAGACAGCATCTGCCCCCGTACTGGGCCAGCAGAGTCCCAGCGTGGCCCCTCCCTGCCCCGACCCCAGCTCTGGAGCTTCCCGCCAAATGCCTTGGCCTTGATGGTTGCCCGTGTCTACAAGGCAGAGAAGCCCGCAGCTATGTGGTCACAGTGGCATTCTGGAAGACTGAGGGAATGGGGTGTGGATGCCTCCTCTCGGTGGCTGTGACCCTCTGGGTTCAAGGAGGGAGAACTAAACAGCTGCCAAGACTCATCGCAGGCCCTGGGTGCCTACACACTTTGAATCACAGCTACTGTACCGTGCTGGGTCACTGCCAGGAATCTGAGGAGACAATAAGCTCTTATTTTAAAAAGATTTGCCAGCATACCCGGGCTTTTACAAATGCTTGATAATTATTGCCAAAAATAGGTATTGGCTTAGGGTCTCCAGTGCTGTCCTGGCAGCTCCAGTGATGAGGGGCCTGCACCATGTATGCAGTCCAAACCTCGCCACAGAGGGGGCCTGGAGGTCAGCAAGCCGGGCACCCCTAGACCCCACAGGGTGGGCATTGTGGACCACGCCTTTGCTGCTCGAGGAGAGGAAGGGGAACCGCAGGAGGAGCTCTTAGTGCCAACTTTGAAGAACAGAGATTGTGTCCTTGTGCCAACTACTCTGAGTCACTTAATGCCATTCCCATTCACGAGAAGAGAAAAATCTGGTACACAGGACTAACCAGTTTGAATTTCCAACTTCTTGGCAATCCAAGAATTTCAGGCTTCTATAAATAGCAAATCCTCCAGTGCTCCCTCCTCTGATGGGGGCTGCCCTCTTCCAACCTTGTATTCATTCAGTGAGCATTTAGCGAGCTACAGACCAGAGAGCCACCCTGCACCTTACAGATTATCTCATGCAACCCCTCACTTAACTGACGAGCAGGGATGGGACTTGTCCAGGTCACAGAACTAAATACCAGGTGCCCAGCCCTGGGGTGAACCCTATAGAGAGGAAGGTGGAAGAGACACAACCTCTTCTCTCAGAGCCCCAGATTACCGGGGGAAGCAGTCACTTGCTCAGAGAGCAACGATACAAGGGAAAATGTAATTCTATCCATAAAAAGTTGAAATGGCCAGGCGCGGTGGCTCACACCTGTAATCCCAGGCCTTTGGGAGGCCAAGGCGGGTGGATCACTTGAGGTCAGGAGTTTGAGACCAGCTTGGCCAACATGGAGAAACCCCATCTCTCTAAAAATCCAAAAATTAGCCTGGCGTGGTGGCGGGTGCCTGTAATCCCAGCTACTCAGGAGGTTGAGGCAGGAGGATCACTTGAAATCACAGTGAGCCGAGATCATGCCACTGCACTCCAGCCTGGGCGACAGAGCAGGACTCTGTCTCAAAAAAAAAAAAAAGTTGAAATGAAGAATCGTGGGAGAGCAAAGACACCAGGTCATTCCTGCACAAGGAATCTGGAAGGATATCATGGGGAACAGTATTAGAGTTGACCCTCCAGAGAAACACTCAGGAGTGGATTTAGACACTCAGGGAGAGAAGAAAGGCGAAAGGGATATGCAGATAAAAGAAACAGCTTAAGACAGCAGAGATGGGATGTCTAAGGAATGCAGGCCAGTTTGGCTGTTATATAGGATGTTGAAACTAAATGATGGGGGTAGGAAGGGGAGTCGGTTACGGGGCTGGATGATGGAAGGTATGGAATGACAGGGTGAGGAATTTGAGCTTCACCATCATCATTATCATTTAAAAGCACCAATGGCAAGTTGTCAGGCATGTTACTGAGCACGATTACTCATGTATTGCAGAGTCTGCACTTTATAGGAACTTGAAATTTAGGACAGAATAAAATTATGGACAGATATTGAAGCTCTATATTATACATAAATGAAAGCTATTTAACACGTAAGTATTTCAGTAGAAGTAAAGGGGCAAGTGCATTTAATGGACTAGTGAGGGAAGAAGGCATCTGGGAATTTGTTCCTGGAAGGGATCCCTCTATCCTCAGCCTCCCCTGTGTTCGGCAGCTCTGGGAAAGGCCCAGAAAAGCAGAGATAGCAGTCTTAATATTAGACACTGACTTAGTGTGGCTTTGTGCCTTCTAGATGGCTGATTTCTGAGAAGGAACAATTCCTGGAGCCTCCCGTTCATTCTTATTCATTGCTCCAGCTCTCCTTTAAGTCCAGTCCTGAGATTGTAGCACATGGAGGAACA
The DNA here is from genome assembly GCF_000001405.40 of Homo sapiens. Taxonomy (NCBI): domain Eukaryota; kingdom Metazoa; phylum Chordata; class Mammalia; order Primates; family Hominidae; genus Homo; species Homo sapiens. The sequence continues at coordinate 197,365,264 of NC_000003.12, read as the reverse complement.
CAGATTGGAGGGGACAGTGGGATGGTGGACAGGGCCCACTGAGTACCGTTGTGCAGGTTATCTACTGCACGAGAAGTGGCAAGTAAGAATTGAAATCCAGACCTCCTCCTCTCATTGAGTCAAAATGAGCTGTGTCCATATGGCGGTGAGAAGGGTGCTTTTTCTAGTCCATGCAAAGGCATTTTGTGGGCTTGTGGTCCTGACAGAGATGCAACTAAACAGCTTCTCTAGACAGTGCTTTCCAGCCTTACCCTCCCACTACTTCCCACTACGGCACATGGGAAACACTTCCAGCCTGATGCCCTGGGCCAGGTGCCAGCATGGAGATGACTCTCAGCCACCCAGCCCTCTACCCTCATCCCTAGCTTGTTTGTGCTCCATTAGGCTGGAGATCTGAGAAAGGGCAGAGGGAAATGTTTGCTAAACTAGATCAAAGACTAAGAAGAATTCACACACATACTCTAAGCACCTATTGAGTCTGGCCCTGCCATCAAACTGTCGAACAGACCTCTGACGATCCTGTGAGACTGTGTCAAACACGGCACTCAAAACTCTAACGTGTCTGGGCAAAGTGGCTCCTGCCTGTAATCCCAACACATTGAAAGGCTGAGGCAGGAGGATCGCTTGAGCCCCAGAGTTCTAGATCAACCTGGGCAAGACAGTGGGACCCCGTCTCTACAAAAGATAAAAAAGAAAAATTAACCTGGCATGGGAGCCTGTGCCTATAGTACCAGCTACCTGGCAGGCTGAGGTGGGAGGAGTACTTGAGCCTGGGAGGTCAAGGCTGCAGTGAGCCTTGATCTCGTGACTACACTCCAGGCTAGATGACAGAGCAAGACCGTGTCTGAAACAAACAAACAAAAACCCACTTCAATGCAATGTAAGAGTGGGAATCCCCTCAGAGCCCATGATCAGCAGCCCCCTGACTCCCCCACCACACGCCATCCCTGACGGGAGCTACCCAGCTTCTGTCTGAGCACTTTAAAGGAATGACAGAGCTGACGGGCCCCGAGAGCCTCTTCATTGTGAGGGAGCTGTGGTTGTTCTAGCAATCTCCTCTTTTTGTTTAGCTGCAATTAGACCCCTGTAACTTCCACTATTGATTCGGCTTCTGCCCCCTGTTGCCCTACAGATTTGTAGGTAAGAAAAGAAGAAACAGAAAAAATAGCCCCTCCACAATAAGCTATTCCTTTCTTGCCTCACTCATTTGTCTGCACCAGGAAGTCAAACCCCATAAGAAACGCCCTTAATACTCCCAGCTAAGCATTTCCTATTGCCCATGTTATTACATTCTTTGCCATTCTTTGCCTTCTTCCTGTTCCCAGCTTCTGACTCCTGGGCTGGTTTTCTGACCACAGGTCGGCGAGAGTCACTTGGATTTGATTCCCCTCGAGCGTTGGCTCCTGACTTCCCTCCTCATAGCCTCCCACCACTTTGATTCTGCTCTTCCAGGCAGCTCAGGGTCAATTCTCTGCATGCGTCAGCAGCAGGGTCTTTAGGAACAGTTGCACAGGTTGCGCATTTTCCTTCTGCCTTTCAGCCCCGAGACCATACCTTTTCCCTCAGGTTCCTGCTGTGGCAGTCAGTGTTCCTGCTGAGTTCACTGGGTTCCTTTTGACGGGGCAAGATAGAGGCAGAAGAAAATGAGGCCTGCTTCTCTGGGGAGCCCTGGTCTCCCAACAACACACCTACCTTTCCCAACTGTATCATTTGCTCTGAGAGGGCAGGATACACCTCTTATTAATCTCTGGGTCCTTTATGACTGAGTCCAACCCAGGGCCCTAGGCAAGGTAAAGGCTCAGGAAGTGTTACTTGAGTGAATGCATGAATAAATGTTAGGAGAGTAGGGTTTGATTTCTAGGGGTGAGAGGAGAGCTGCTGAGCAGCAGGAAAAGACGAGAAGACCCCTAGGGAGTCTCACTCTCCCTGGCAACTGCTCAGATGACTTGCTCTCAGAAAAGACCTCCTGGTCGTGAAGTCACTCTCCTGTGTCTGGCTTCCTCGCAGATGCCCGATTTCCTTCTCTACAAGACCAATCTTTCCCAGACTGGTCCTTGGAAAAACAAAACAAAACAAAACAAAAAACAAACAAACAAACAAAAACAGGCCTTTCCAAGCTCCATTCCTTCTTTTCCACTAAATCTTTAACAAAGCAAGACACCCATAAGGCCTCTCCTGCAACAGTGACGATGAGGCCCTCTAATGCAGTAGAGTGCTGGCGGGGGAGATGGAGAGGAGAGAACAGGAATGAAAAGTAGTCTGAAGGCTAAATCAGGAGAACTTGACCTGGAGTGAGTGGTCAGTAGAGACACAAGGTGGAGAAGGGAGAGAGGAGGCAAAGGGAAGTCCTCCAAGAGAGGGTGGCGGTCCCATGGATGAAAAACAGAGGTAGGCCAGGTGTGGTTACAGGTTCACCCCTGTAATCCCAGCAGTTTGGGAGGCCAAGGTGGGTGGATCACTTGAGGTCAGGAGTCCGAGACCAGCCTGGTCAACATGGTGAAACCCCGTCTCTACCAAAAATACAAAAATTAGCCGGGCGTAGTGGCGGGCACCTGTAATCCCAGCTACTTAGGAGGCTGAGGCAAGAGAATCACTTGAACCCGGGAGGTGGAGGTTGCAGTGAGCTGAGATCGCGTCATTGCACTCCAGCCTGGGCAACAAGAGGGAAACTCCATCTCAAAAAACAACAACAAAAAATAAAAATAAAAATAAAGAAATACAGATGTTGAAAGGATGTGCTGACTGGAGCAGACAGTTTGAGTTTGATTTTGTGCATTTTTGAGGTGTCATCTAGACAAACAGGCAGGATTGTACAACTGGTTATTGGAGGTGTAAGACTCAGTCTTCGATAAGACTATTGTAATAGAAACATAGAAATCTGAGATGATGGTGAGCAAGTGAGGGTGGGAAAGTTTGCCCTAAGACTAGTTTCTGTGTCTTTCAGCTGTTTATGTCAGGACAAAGGCCCAGCTGCCCCTGTCCCAGAGCTGTGAGGAAGCAGAAAGAAAGAGAACCTAGTATGTTCTAGGAACTGTGCCAAATGGTCTACACAAGCCACATATTCAATTCTTACTAGATATCGAGACCAGCACTATCCAATAGAACTTTCTGTGATGATGAAAATGTTCTCTATATATGCTAATACTGCAACTACTAGCCCCATTTTGCTATTGAACACTTGAAATGTGGCTAGTACAACTAGGAAACTGAATATTTCATTTTATTTACATTTAATGAATTTAGGTGTAAATGTAAATAGCCATGTACAGCTAGTAGCTGTCATATTGGAAGAGCAGATCTATTTCAACCTCCTCAATTCTTAGGTGAGGAAACAAAGTGACTTTCTCAGCAAAATTATTTTCATTAAAATATGAACTAATTTGCAAAGACTCCATTTTCATGTACCTCTTTTTGTATAACTGAGGCTCTATGTGCTTAATACGAACTAACATGGTTAAAATTTAAAGCCTGTATAACAAAAAAGATCTTTTGATGCATGGAGGGTTTCCGTAAACTTTTAAATTTGTTTTTAATGTTAGGGCCAATTGGATTTTTTTTTTAGTAATTTAGATATTCATTAATATTAACACAGATAGAATAGTTAACCTTGATTGAGTACTTATTATATGTTAGGTACTTGTATTAGTCATCTAATGCTGTGTAACAAGATACCCCCAAACTTAGCAGCTTTAAAACAATAAACATGTTGCATTAGTTCATTTTCATGCTGCTGATAAAGACATACCTGAGACTGGGCAATTTACCAAAGAAAGAGGTTTAATTGGATTCACAGTTCCACGTGGCTAGGGAAGCCTCACAATCATGGTGGAAGGCAAGGAGGAGCAAGTCACATCTTATGGGGATGGTGGCAGGCAAAGAGAGAGAGCTTGTGCAGGGAAACTCCCATTTTTTTAAAACCATCAGATCTTGTGAGACTCATTCACTATCACGAACAGTGCAGGAAAGACCCACCCCCATAATTCACTCACTTCCCACTGGGTTTCCCCCACGACACACGGAAATTGTGGGGGTTACAATTCAAGATAAGATTTGGGTGGGGACACAGCCAAACTATATCATTCCACCCTGGCCCCTCCCAAATCTCATATCCTCACATTTCAAAACCAATCATGCCTTCCCAACAGTCCCCCAAAGTCTTAACTCATTTCAGCATTAACTCAAAAGTCCACAGTCCAACATCTCATCTGAGACAAGGCAAGTCCCTTCCACCTATTAGCCTGTAAAATTAAAAACAAGTTAGTTACTTCCTAGATAAAATGGGGGTATAGGCATTGGGTAAATACAGCCATTCCAAATGAGAGAAATTGGCCGAAACAAAGGGGCTACAGGTCCCATGCAAGACCAAAATCCAGCAAGGCAGTCAAATCTTAAAGCTCCAGAATGATCTCATTTGACTCTGTGTCTTGCATCTGGGTCACATTGATACAAGAGATGGGTTCCCATGGTCTTGGGCAGCTCCGCCTCTGTGGCTCTGCAGGGTACAGCCTACCTCCTGGCTGCTTTCACAGACTGTTGTTGAGTGTCTGTGGCTTTTCCAGGCACACGTTGCAAGCTGTTGGTGGATCTACCATTTTGGGATCTGGAGGATGGTGCCTCCCTTTTCACAGCTCCACTAGGTGGTGGCCCAGTAGAGACTCTGTGTGGGACCTCTAACGCCACATTTTCCTTCTGCACTACCCTAGCAGAGGTTCTCCATGAGGACCCCACCCCTGCAGCAAACTCCTACCTGGGCATCCAGGTGTTTCCATACCTCCTCTGAAATCCAGGCAGAGAGAGGTTCCTAAACCTCAATTCTTGACGTCTGTGCACTTACAGGCCCAACACCATGTGGAAGCTGCCAAGATTTGAGGCTTGCGCCCTCTGAAGCCATGGCCCAAGCTGTACTTTGGCCCCTTTTAGTCAGTCTCTAGGCTGCACACAGCACAGAGACCCTGGGCCTGGCTTATGAAACCATTTTTTCCTCCTAGGCCTCTGGGCTTGTGATGGGAGGGCTGCCGTGAAAACCTCTTACATGCCCTGGAGACATTTTCCCCATTGTCTTGGGGATTAATATTCAGCTCCTCATTACTTTCTGCAGCCAGCTTGAATTTCTCCTCAGAAAATGGGTTTTTCTTTTCTATCACATTGTCAGGCTGCAAATTTTCTGAACTTTTATGCTCTACTTCCCTTATAAAACTGAATGCCTTTAACAGCACCCGAGTCACATCTTGAATGCTTTGCTGCTTAGAAATTTCTTCTGCCACATACCCTAAGTCATCTCTCTCAAGTTCAAGTTTCCACAAATCTCTAGGGCCAGGGCAAAATGCTGCCAGTCACTTTGCTAAAACATAGAAGAGTCATATTTACTCCAGTTCCCAACAAGTTCCTCATCTCCTTCTGAGACCACCTCAGCCTAGACCTTATTGTTCGTATCACTATCAGCATTTTTGTCAAAGCCATTCGACAGTCTCTAGGAAGTTCCAAACTTTCCCACATTTTCCTCTCTTCTTCTGAGCCCTCTAAACTGTTCCAACCTCTGCTTGTTAACCGGTTCCAAAGTCACTTCCACATTTTTGGGTATCTTTTCAGCAGCACCCCACTCTTGGTATCAATTTACTGTATTAGTCTGTTTTCACACTGCTGATAAAGACATATCCAAGACTGGGCAATTAACAAAAGAAAGAGGTTTATTTGGACTCACAGTTCCACATGGCTGGGGAAGCCTCACAATCATGGCAGAAGGCAAGGAGGAGCAAGTCATATCTTATATGGATGGCAGCAGGCAAAAAGAGAGCTTGCGCAGTGAAACTCCCATTTTTAAAAAAACATCTGATCTCATCCCCATAATTCAATTACCTCCCACGGAGTTCCTCCCACGACACATGGGAATTGTGGGAGTTACAATTCAAGATGAGATTTGGGTGGGGACACAGCCAAACCATATCACATGTATTATGTCACATAGTTTCTGAAGGTCAGGAGTGACTTAGCTAGGCGGTTCTGGCTTAGGGTCTCTGAGGTTGCAGTCAAAGTGTCATCTGAGAAGCTGCAGTCTTCTGAAGACTTGATGGGCTGGAGGAGCCACTTGTAAAATGGCTCACACATGGCTGTTGGCAGGAGGCCTCTGTTCCTTACTGCGTGAACCTCTCCATAGGACTGCTCACAACACATGATCCAAGTGATCCCCACGAACACGTGATCCAAGAAAGAGAGTGACCAAACAGGAAGCCTCAATGCTATTTTACGACCTAGCCTTGGAAGTGACATATCATCACAGTTGCTGGATTCTATTGGTTACACAGACCAATCCTAATATCATACAGGAGGAGATCCCATAAGGGTGTAAATACAGGAGACAGAGATTGTTGAGGACCGTCTTGGAGACTGGCTATCTCAGTACTTCACATACACAACCTCACTTCATCCTCACAAAACTAGCAAGTAAAGGCCCTGCTTCTCTAGATGAGGTGAAGATGGCTCAGAGAAGTTAAGTGAATTCCCAAGGTCTCTCAGGTAATGAACAGCAGAGCTGTGCCTCCCCCAGGTCTCTCATGCAAAGGCTGCCAAATCTACATGTTTGCACTAACAACCACTCTACTACACCACTCCAACAGGAATCCTTCTTGATCCATTCCCCTGACTCAACGCACTTTGCAGCGGCTAAATCTTTTTTTTTTTTTTTTTTTTTTTGAGATGGAGTCTCTCTCTGTTGCCCAGGCTGGAGTGCAGAGGCGCGATTTCTGCTCACTGCAAGCTCCGCCTCCCAGGTTCACGCCATTCTCCTGCTTCAGCCTCCCAAATAGCTGGGACTACAGGTGCCCACCACCACACCCGGCTAATTTTTTGTATTTTTAGTAGAGACGGGTTTCACCATGTTAGCCAGGATGGTCTCAATCTCCTGACCTCATGGTCCGCCCACCTTGGCCTCCCAAAGTGCTGGGATTACAGGCGTGAGCCTGTAATTTTTTTGAGACCGCACCCAGCCTGCAGCTGCTAAATCTTTATCAGAAAATGTTCATTCCTGATTTGTTAAAGAAAATTTAAACTAGGAATAGAAAGATTTTTCCTTACCACAACCAAATGCAACTCATGATAGTGACAAATATAATACTTAATTAGAAAATATTAGACATGGCCGGGCACAGTGGCTCATGCCTGTAATCCCAGCACTTCGGGAGACTGAGGTGGCCAGATCATGAGGTCAAGAAATCAAGAACATCCTGGCCAACATGGTGAAACCCCGTCTCTACTAAAAATACAAAAAATTAGCTGGGCATGGTGGCGTGCGCCTGTAGTCCCAGCTACTTGGGAGGCTGAGGCAGGAGGATCGCTTGAACCCGGGAGGCAGAGTTTGCAGTGAGCTGAGATCGCGCCACTGCACTCCAGCCTGGTGACAGAGTGAGACTCCGTCTCAAAAAACAAAAACAAAAAAGAAAAGAAAAGAAAATATTAGACATAGGGCCATACCACCCTGAAGGTGCCCAATCTTGTCTGATCTCAGAAGCTGAAACATTAGACACAGTCTTGTTAAAATCAGGAATAAAAATCTCTACCATTACTACTATTATTTAATATTGGGAAGATCTGATTCATGCAATAAAATAGAAATAAGAAGTAGAATTATTCAAAAGGAGAAAAAATTATCATTAGAAATTCCCAGATAATCAACTGAAAACACTTGCTGATATTAATGAAATTCCATCAAAGGGCCGTATCTAAGATACATGGCTCGGAGCAGCTGCCTTCCTGTAGATCAGCAATAACCAGCAACAAGACATAACAAATTGCCCTTCTCCCCCATCTCCCCTGTGCCGCCCGGGAGCCTGTGCTATGGTCGTGCTCATTCTGTGGTTGAGCATTTGCACCTTGTCTTAGTCCCTTTGAGCTGCTCTAACAAAATGCACTAAACGGAGTAGCTTGTAAACAGCAGACATTTATTTCTCACAGTTTCAAAGGCTGGGAAGTCCGAGATCTAGGTGCCTGCAGAGTCAGTGTCTGACGAGGGCCCACTTCCTTCTCACTGGAAACTCACAGGGTCACAGGGGCTCACTAGCACTCTGGAGTCTCTTCTATAAGGGACTCATCTCATCCATGAGGGCTCCCCTCATGACCTCATGACCTCACTTCTCAAAGGTCCCACCTTCTAATACCATCACCTTGCTCATTAGGTTTCCCCCTGTGAATTTTGGGGAGACATACAGTTCAGATCACAGCATGCCTTTTCATGGCTTGTGTGTGGAGCAGGTGGCCTGCAGGTATGCAGCTGAAGGGCTGGGAGGTGCGATAGCTACATGAGGAACCCTCATGCTGGAAGTAAGTGTTCCAGGTAATTCTAGGACTGTCCAACCCCCTGAGGCATAACACGCAATATCTTGCCTGCCGCTTTGGGTTTTCCTTTTCAGAGGAAATAAATGATGGAAGATAGGATTCTGGCAGGAACTGGTCAGTGTCTCACCTATAAAAGCCGAATCGAGTAGAAAGTGCCCCTGGTTTTTTAATCCAGAAGATCTAGGTTGGGGTCCTGGCTCTGGCACTATTCACCCTGTGTCCTTGAAGAGGCTACCCACCCACCTCTGTGTTCTTCACTTTCTCTCCCTGTGCGGGGAAAGTCGGGTTGCCCGTCTCCTAAGAGTCGTGGGGAGAATGGAATACGATGATGAGGGGGAAAGAGCTTTGCAAACGAAAGTACGATGGAAACAGAAAGTGAGACTGTTAGAATCAAGGAGGGCTCCACGCCAACCTGCTGACAAAGACTCACTCAGTGCCAGCTCTCTGACCGGTCCCCACACTCTGCACTTGATCCAGCCGTCACGCTACACCCTGGTTCCACACAGGGCTCACACTTGGGTGAACTGATCCAGCCGTCACGCTACACCCTGGTTCCACACAGGGCTCACACTTGGGTGAACTGATCCAGCCGTCATGCTACACCCTGGTTCCACACAGGGCTCACACTTGGGTGAACTGACAACAGTGAGCTCCTTTGGACCTTGTGGAGTCTTTTTTTTTTTTTTTGAGACAGAGTCTCCCTCTTGTTGCTCAGGCTGGGGTGCAGTGGTGCGATCTCAGCTCACTACAACCTCCACCTCCCGGGTTCAAGTGACTCTCCTGCCTCAGCCTCCTGAGTAGCTGAAATTACAGGCACCTGCCACCACAACTGGCTATATTTTTTTTGTATTTTTAGTAGAGACAGGGTTTCACCATGTTGGCCAGGCTTGTCTCAAACTCTTGACCTCAGGTGATCCGCCTGCCTCAGCCTCCCAAAGTGCTGGGATTCCAGGCATGAGGCAACACCTGGCCCCATGTTGACTCTTGTGGGCAGAGAGGACAGGCACAGGAATGCAATTATCTTGCAAGATTATCCAGACCCAGTTTCCTTATCCAAGGATGAGCTTTGATTTCTCCAATGGCTTTGTTTGTATTGTAATGTCTACTGTGAGGTCCCAGGGTCAAAAGGGCAGCATTTTTTAGATATCACCTCCCTTTTCAACAGAGAGATGGTAGTACATCCTATCTCAGGGCAAGGCTTGATGCCTCTCTTGGGCTCTAGGTCTGGTCAGCAAGAGAGTTGGTGACCCTCGGTAGGTCCCAGGGGAAATGACAACGACAAGCTCCTGCAATGTCTTGGGGTACGAGTGGGCAAATGCCGTGAGTGATGCAGAGCAAGGATGGAGGAAGGGTAGCCTTAGCAGTCATCAGAACATAGAGAGAAACAGGCAGGCACTTGGAGAACACGGAACAGGCCAGGGAGCCAGGAGGAGCCAGGAGCAAGGCCGAGGCTCCGGGCTCAGGGCCCCTCGCATCTTAGGAGTTTAAGGTTGACTCTCCTGCTTAGAGCCCACACCTCTGCAGGCCTTCAGAAGTACCACGCTGAACACCAGATAGGATTTCTCAGGTGAACATTTCTCCACCTGACTTTCCTGCTGTGTTGGGAAACAGAGATTCTACGATGGCTGACTCCAGTTACTAAGCCCTCTCTGCCTAAAAGGAGCCATTCCCCCAGCAGACTAGAAAGTGCGTGTGTGTATGTGGGCATGCGAGTGGTGAGGACAGGGGTGTTGCTTAGGAAATGGGGCTGGCTGCTCCCCATATTCCTGAAATGACAGCAGAGGCCTACATCCACAGCCAAGGCTGTGTGGGCTGCCGTGGATTGCAGACCCCAGGCCTCCTGCAGGCTGAGTATCTGCGCTTGGATACTCCTCCCCCTCAACTGGGTCTGCCCTGGCCACAGGACCCACAGGGTCCCTATCGTGGTCCTGGGAGCGGGGAGCTACGGGGGGAGCCTCTTGAGCTCCCCAGCTTGCCTGCGGGCCTGGCCCTGGATTAAAAGGCTGGCCGCCGTAAACCACAGCTGAAGCCCAGCTGTCCCTGTAAGTCTGCCCGGCCCACTTCCCGAAGCGTGTCGTCTGGAGACGATCCTCAGCTGTCTGCTGAGAGCTAAGAAACTACTTGAGCGTGAAGACTTCTGGTGCAAACGGTGCGTGTCCCCAGCTGAGCCACTGCTTTGTCCTGTCTCCCGCCAAGTCCGGCATTTCTCTTTAGCCTCATCTCCCCCGAAACTCTTTGCTTTTTCTCTCTCTGAATGTGTCTCGTCTCTCCGTCTATAGCTCTGCCTCTGTGTGATTTCGTCTCCATCTCTCTGCATGCCTGCCTGTGTATTCCTCTATGTTTACTTCTCTGTCCTGTCTGTGTGTGTCTGTTTCTGTCTCACTGTGTGTTTGTTTCTCTCTGTCTCTCTTTCTCTGCTTTCAGTCTCTCTCTGTTTCTTTCTGTCCCTTTAACACTCTGCTCTCTCTGTCTCTCGCTTGCTCCCTCTGCCCACACGTCTGTCTGTCCCCCTGTCTCTCTGTGTGTCTCTCCTTCAGTCGTCGTCTCCTTGTCTCTGTCTCCTTGTCTCTCAGACTGCCTCTTAGTTTCTCTCTGTACCGCTGTCTCTTTCTGTCTGTGTGCATGTCTCTTTCAGTCTCTGTCTCTTTGATTCTCTCTGCCTCTCAGACTCAGCTCTCTGTCTCTCGTTCCTTCATTCTTGAATAAAGTGCCCAGGGGAAATGTCCAGCAAGAACAAGACCCTCCCCGGACTCCACAGAACAGAGTAGGGTGGACTGCTAGGCTGGGTCCATGTGCCAGGTTGGCTCAACAGTTTTGCTGGGAATTCCCCTCTGGCCACAAGAAGCCATGGCCAGGGAGGGAAAGTGTCCAGCAGTGGATTCTGGGCCTGCGAAGCCAGGCTCCATCTAAGCTTACTTAAGAAGCAACAGTAATAGACCCCCCACCCCCCGCCTTAGGGAGCAGCAGAAAGGTGATTACATGCTGTGTCAGCTAATCCCGTGAAACCCTGTGTCTCCCTCCAAGGAGTCAAACATTCTCAGTCCTTGTATTCCTCCATCCTTCCAAGTGGCAGGAAAGACCTTCAGAAACCAGTGTCTGAACAAAATGCCAGCAGGAAAACCACAGGTCTCTGCTTTATCTAAGTGAGTGGGAAGAAGGGCTGAGGGATGGATCAAGAATTAATGAGGATACAGTAAGTAGAACAATGTACGACTCCATAACCTGAGAGCTTTTGAAAGGACAGCTGGAGCCAGTGCTTCTGGCCGTACATACCTGTGATCAAGTTACACCCTCTCCCCACAAAATAGCCACCTAGCAACCAATACAATATGAATCAGAGTCATAATCACGGCCATTTCTCTTGAATCAGGGGTCCTGCCAGCCACTCTTCATGTATCTGCTTAGTCCATCCTACCAAAAACTCTAACAGTCACCTCCCCATTTTACAGATGAAGAAACTGAGGCTCATAGAGGTTAACTTGCCCGAAGTTACAGTTAGTGAGTAGAAGAGCTAAGATAAGAACTTAGGACTGCCAGGCTCCCAGCCAGCCTGCTCGCCTCCCTGTCAGTCACTGTCACCTCACTGTCACTGTCACTGTCACTCTGAAGAAACATTCTGAGTCAAGTAGAGATGTTCTTTTCACATTTGAGTGTCCTTTTCTGTAGGTGGATCAGAGTATAGAGACATCTGGACACAATTAAGCAGCAGGTCAAGCTGACCTCCCTTCCCTGCCTTCCAGGCAGCAGGTGGCTTCTGAGCATGACCAGCAGCAATGCTGTTCCAATCAGTCCAGGTAGCGCAGGCCCACGGTCATGTCTCTGGAGCTTCGGCAAAATAGTTCACTTGCTGTGCCTGCAGCTCACCAGTGGTCAAAAGAAATCCATTAAGAGCTTAAGAAAAACATGTAAGAGAAAAATTCATAGTTGAGAAAATTCTATTATGCTGTGTTTCTTTTGAATTGGGATAAAACCGACATTCTACACATCATCATGGCAGAGCACTTTTCCACCAGACTTGACCTCAAGGCCTAAGAACAGAGGCAAGAGTCCACCGAAGACTCCTCGTCCGGGGCAACAGCAATTAGGAGGCGTGCATGTGCCTTTCAGGTCTCAGGTCAGAGAAAATTTCGGAAACAAGGTAAAAAGAAAAAGGGAAGAAAGACACTCAGTTCATTCCTCTGTGAATGCCCCACTCCTTCCTTCAGTGGAGAAAGAGGTCTCATCCTCAATCATTGCTCCTGCAGACACAGCGGGGGCAGGGCAGCATGGAGGAAAGCCAGGCAGTGCAGCGTGCTGCCACACTCACAGATATGGAAACCTGCCGAGGCTCTCTGAGTTAATCTCCCCTGGCCATGACCTCATGGGAACAAGATGTGTGTATTTTGTGCCAGGATGAGACTGTGGCTTCACACACAAAAAAAGTTTATGAGGTTTAAAATAACTCATTGCTCTGATTGTACCACAGTGACCCAGAGAGCACACACCCAAAAAGGATTTTGGCCCAATTGCCAAGTTGATGGTCTTTATAGATGACATAAACGGGATTCCGTTCCATTCTTCAAATACTTCCCGAGTTCCTACTGTGTGCCAGTACTGAGCTAGACACTGAGGACACGAAAATAAATCCGCCATGCCCTCTGACCTGAGAGAGCCGATAACTCCAGGCAGGGATATCAAATAGAAACTCAAATATCTATCTTCAGCATATATATATACATATATATTTTGAGACACAGTCTCACTCCAGGCTTCAGTGCAGTGGCATGATCTTGGCTCACTGCAACGTCCGTCTCCTGGGTTCAAGCTATTCTCCTGCCTCAGCCTCCTGAGTAGCTGGGATTACAGACATGCACCACCACGCCCAGCTAATTTTTGTATTTTTAGTACAGACGGGGTTTCACCATGTTGATCAGGCTGGTCTCCAACTCCTGACCTCGTGATCTGCCCGCCTCTGCCTCCCAAAGTGCTGGGATTAAAGGCGTGAGCCACCACGCCCGGCCCCAGCAGATATTTTCTGAGGGCCTACTACATGCCAGACATTCAGAACTAGCGATTACCAAAATGGTAGTCTAATGGCAAATTAGACTCTCTTTGTTGACCAGCTAAACCAGATTCAATTCAGTTTCATGGACAAGTCCCTATCATTTAGCAACTTTTAAAATGCTGTCCTTCCTGCTAGACTGTAAGCTTCATGGGGGCTGGGGCTACACACATGCCTTGTTCACAGTGTGTCTTCAGTGCTGAGATGGTGTCTGAAGACGGTGTCTACAGACGGTGAGTGGTCAAGAAATCCATGAACCTGGGGAAGTTCCTAGGCTATGGGGGGAGCACAAGATGGAGAAGGGATGAAGAACAAAGGGTTCACTCACAAATTATCCTCTCTCTCTCTCTGTCTCTCTCTCATGCACACACACACACACACACACACACACACACACACAGAGTCAATTAATGACATAGAGTGAACTGTAGGCCTCAAACTGCCACGGCTCACAGAAATTGTCATGGTTCCCAGGCTCTGAGCCATCGCGTGGCAGATACCTTGGTTGGCTCTCTCAACACCCACTTCAGCCCCTTGCCCTTGCCATCATGACCACAGAGTCTAGAAAGCTGAAGTACTTAACTTCCCAGCCTCCCTGGCAGCTAGGGATGGCCATGTGACATAGTTCTGGCCAGTGAGATGTTGGCGATGTCTCTGGGCAGGGCCCTAAAACTAGGGACCCTAAAACTAGGATGGTTGCAGTGGTCTGGAATCTTTGGAGTCTTCCCTGCTTCAAGAACCCGAGGACTAGGTTTGAGGGGGAAAGAGGTGGCACCGAGGGAGAGCAGAAGCTCACGTCCTCGGGATAAGTCTTAGCTGCTCTCTGACCCACTTCTCCTTCCTCATCCACCCTTTCTTATTGTGGCAGCCTCCCACCTCCTCTGCCTTCCGTCTTCATGCCAAACACATTTAAACAATTTGGGGCGGAATAGTATTTGTTAGTTTCGGGCTCTGATTCTCCACGGGAGTGATCTTCAACCAAACAGAAAAGATAATGGTAAAATACCTCATTCAGATTTACTTCAAAATAATATGAAATGGGAAGTGAGTGGGGTTACCGCTGCAGCAGGATTGGCTCTGAGTTGATAATCGCTGGAGCTGGGTGATGGCGTTATTCACAACAGCCAAAAGCTGGAAGCCACGTAAGTATCCGTCGACAGACGAACAGGTAAACACAATGTGGTGTGCACAGTGGAACACTCTTTAGCCTTAGAGAGGAGGGAAATTCCAACACATGCTGCAGCATGGACGAAACTCGAGGGCGTTGCGCTAAGTGAAATACGCCAGTCACAAAAGGCAAATACTGTATGATTCCACTCACAGGAAGTAGTTACAATAGTCAAATTCCTGGAGACAGAATGTAGAATGGCGGTTGCCAGGGGCTGGGGAGGGAGGAAGGGGGATGTGTTGTTTAATGGCTGTAGTTTCAACTTTATAAGATAAAAATAGTTCTGGAGATGGTTGCAGAACACTGTGAGTGCAATTAACACTACTGAACCATATCCCTAAAATGGGTAAGATGGTACATTTTATATCTATTTTACCTCAATTAAAAATTTTAGGCCGGGAGCGGTGACTCACGACTGTAATCCCAGCACTTCAGGAGGACGAGGCGGGTGGATCACTTGAGACTAGGGGTTCAGGACCAGCCTGGTCAACATGGTGAAACCCCATCTCTTCTAAACATACAAAAATTAGCCAGGTGTGATAGGCACCTGTAATCCCAGCTACTTGGGAGGCTGAGGCAGGAGAATCGCTCGAACCCGGGAGGCAGAGGCTGCAGTGAGCCAAGAAGATCACGCCACGGCACTCCAGCCCAGGCGACACAGTGAGACTCTGTCTCAAAAAACAAATGAAACAGCTCTGAGGTAGTGATTCAGGGACTACCTGACTCTAGAGATCGGAAAACCTGAATAGAGTGTGAAGACACGGGGATTCTGGGACAGCAGCAGCTTAATGTGTCTGCCTTCCCTCCACATAACATACCATTCCAGACACTACCCACCACCTCTTCCAAGCCAACTTGTTACTGCGGCCAGCAGGTAGGCAAGAGCCTGAAGGAAATATGCTGGGTGGTGAAGTGGGGCTTCCTCCCCTCTAAGAGAGCCTGGACGAGATTCTAAGGGAAGTACCGCTCTGGCCACATACACATACTTGTCTCCTCAGCCCCCAAAAAGCTAAGGAGGAACTGAACAGGTGAGCTGTGAGACCCAGGGGCAGCTCCTCTTGCTCAATAGGGAATGCCTACTGGTCTGCCTGCTCTTACCTGGACCTCCAGGGACCGACAGCACCGAGGCCCCTCCACAACCTGTGGTTTTCTAGCTGCTGAGCCACAGGGGTCAGGCAAAGAAAGGAAACAACATACCAAGGAGGCCGAAGGCGCAAAGGGAGGAATGCACCAAAATTCCAGAACGGGCTTCCGGGGAGACAGAGCACAGTGCAACAATAACAACAGCAGAAGAACTCAACGAATATGGCCTGAAACTTCAAAACATTCTTTTTTTTTGAGACAGAGTCTTACTCTGTTTCCCAGGCTGGAGTGCAGTGGCTCGCTCTCGGCTCACTGCAGCCTCCGCCTCCTGAGTTCAAGTGATTCTCCTGCCTCAGCCTCCTGAGTAGCTGGTATTACAGGCGTGTGCCACCACACCTGGCTGATTTTGTATCTTTAGTAGAGATGGGTTTTCACCACGTTGGCCAGGCTGGTCTTGAACTCCTGACCTCAAGTGATCCACCTGCCTCGGCCTCCCAAAGTGCTGGGATTACAGGCGTGAGCCACCGTGCCTGGTCAAAACATTCTTATTTAACCAAAAAGTGAAATGGATAATTTAAGTGGAAAGATAGCCAGAGATAAGGCTTGAATTCGTGGCTTGACGGATGAATGTGAGGAATACTGCAAACCACAGAGCAAAATGCAGAGGGGTAGAAACTGTCGGGGAAAATGGGAGCCATTTGCAGGGCAGATTTAGGAGACCTAACAGGGGACCAATAACTGAATCAAAGAGGACAACAGGGACAAAAGACAGCGGCCTGACAGATACAGACTCACGGGTTATAAAGACTGCAGCCTTGGAATTGTGTACCTAGCCAAGCCATCATTCACCCACAGGAGTGAAACACACACACACAGACACACACGTATGCAAGGATTCAAAAATTACATCGCTCACATGCAGTCTCTGAAGAAAAGAGTTTTAAAGACCTCAACCAAAATAAGCCCGGCGCAGTGGCTCACGCCCTATAATCGCAGGACTTTGGGAGGCCAAGGCGGGTGGATCATTTAGGTCATCTCAGAAAAAAAAGAAAAAAAAGACTTCAACCAAAATCCAATGAATTCTAACAGAGAAGAAAAGAGGAAACAGAAGTGAATGATAAATCACGCTTAACTATATATGTGTAGATATACATACATATTTAACCATATATACCCACATATGTGTGTGTATATATATGTATTTATGTATGTATTGATATATACATATGTATTATTAAATATAAATGGATAATGACAGACTGTCTGGAAATGTGTAACACTGAATAAGGATTCTTGAAATAGAAGTGAAACACTGCAAAGGAAATTCTCAACCTCCTGAGCAGCAGGGATTACAGGCATGCGCCACCACACCTGCCTGATTTTGTATTTTCAGTAGAGACAGGATTTAGAAAGAAAAGTGCTAAGCGGTTTCAGCTGCACCTAGACGCTGGCAACAGGGCGTGGGGAGTAAAAGCATCCCACAGACTAATTGGGGTGACAGGAAGAAAATGGGGAAAGTAACGGTATTCTGAATGTCTCATTGGTGGAGGAAAGAAACACCTGAAGGGGAGGAATAGTCAGAGAATAGTGTCTGAGTGGAGAAATCATATCTCGTATCCCTATAATACTAAAGAAATAGAGTTTGATTATGAACACCAGGAAAGGAAAGGTGATATAACCATTCGCGGAATGAAAATGTCCACATTAATAAGGGTGGAAAGCAACCTGAGCAAGCCACTAAAATTAAGAAAAAAAATCATTAGAAACATAAGCTGGAAGGAATAAAATGAAATACAACAGTTGTACACTATTGTTGTACACTATCTCTGTGTACACAGAGAATGAACTGAATTCTCTCTTTAAAAGGCAGAATATAGACTGGGCTAAAAAACCAAAAATCTATCTTTTTTTTTCTGAGACGGAGTCTCGTGCTGTCACCCAGGCTGGAACGCAGTGGTGTGATCTCCGCTCACTGCAACCTCCGCCTCCCGAGGTTCAAGCGATTCTCCTGCCTCAGCCTCCTAAGTAGCTGGGACTACAAGCACGTGCCACCACGCCCGGCTAATTTTTGAATTTTTAGTAGAGACGACATTTAACCATGTTGGCCAGGTTGGTCTTGAACTCTTGACCTCAGGTGATCCACCCGCCTTGGCCTCCCAAAGTGCTAGGATTACAGGCATGAGCCACCACGCAGCACAGCCACAAAAACCTATCTTAATCCTGTTTATAAGAAACAGACTTTAAATGGAGTGATAAAGGAAAGTTTAAAGTCCAGGAATAGATCCATGCAGATGGGAAATTTTACTACATGGTAAGAGTGCCATTTCACATTATTGGGAAATAGATGAGTATTTCCACAAAGAATGCTGGGACAATCAGATATTCATTTGGAAAAAAGCAAATTTGGATTAAAAGGAAATCACCTGGGCCGGACACAGTGTCTCACGCCTGTAATCCCAGCATTTTGGGAGGCTGAGGCAGGTGGATCACCTGAGATCAGAAGTTCTAGACTAGCCTGGCCAACATGGTGAAACCCTATCTCTACTAAAAATACAAAAGTTAGCCTGGCATGGTGATGTACGCCTGTAATCCCAGCTACTCAGGAGGCTGAGACAAGAGAATCACTTGAACCCAGGACGTGGAGGTTGCAGTGAGCCAAGGTGGCGCCTGCACTCCAGCCTGGGTGACAGAGTGAGACTCCAGCTCTAAAAAAATAAAAATAAAAATAAAGAAATCACATGAAGCAAAATAGACACACTCAAGAAAATTAAAAGACAAGCAACAGATTCAGATAAAATGTTTCCCACATATATTTATTAATAATAGACAAAGAAGTAATAGCTATAATGTGTAAAGATATCCTAAAAATCAATAAGAAAAAGGCAAGCTACCAAATATAGCAATGGGCAAATAATATGTACATTTCACAGAAGAGAAAAGCCAAATGGCCAACAAACCCATAAAATGATGTTCAACCTCACTTGGAATAAATGGGAAAAAGCACATTAAGGCAACGCCTTTTTTCTCTCATTGGATCGACGAAAATGTTAAAGATTTATAATATCAAGTGATGGCAAGGGTTTGGGGGAGTATAAATACAATCTCTCTGGAAGTCAATTTGACATCTAATGTAATTGTTTTGCTTAAATCTAATACAACCTTAAATGTGCCTTTCTTTTGACTCAGAAGTTCTACTTCCTCTCTTTATTCTAGAAGAAGGCATGTGCAAGAAGCAATGTGCAGGATGCTTACGCCTGTAATCCCAGCACTTTGGGAGGCCAAGCTGGATGGATCACGAGGTCAGGAGATCAAGATCATCCTGGCCAACACGGTGAAACCCCGTTTCTACAAAAAAATACAAAAATTAGCTGGCATGGTGGTGCGTGCCTGTAATCCCAGCTACTCGGGGAGGCTGAAGCAGAATGACTTGCACTGGGGAGTTGGAGGTTGCAGTGAGCTGAGATCGCTCCACTGCACTCCAGCCTGGCGACAGAGCAAGACTCCATGTAAGAAAAAAAAAGAAAAAGAAAAGACAAGACTGGAAAAAGCTAATGTCTACCAATAAAGAAGTGGTTAAGTAAACCTTGACACATACAAACGATGGTATCTTGCAGCTATTAGATATGATATATCTAATACATAGAAAGATAAAAAAGATAGCTTTGACATATTGTAGAGGGAAAGAATCAAGCTGCAGAATAATTTATACCATATGCCACTTTTGTAAAAAACAAACTAACAAACCCACAAAACTATATTATACCTGGATTTTATAGGTATGTAAATGGGGAGAGGATTGGGATTGGGGCTAAGCAAAAGGAACTTTAGCTTTATTTATATTGTTTGAGTGTTTTGCAGTAAGAATGCAATCATGAATTATATATGTGGAAATAAAATATATGTTTAACCCACAGCAAGAAGAAAGGCCTTCCTGCTTTGAAGGGCAAATGCATTCATTCACAATCGGGTGTTAAATACCCACTGTAGGCCAGTTGCTGTTGGAGAGAAAAAATGAATGCTGCCAGCTGCGTCCTGGAGGCTCTCTCTGTCTAGTAGAGGAGATAAGACTTGTAAACCAGTAAGTGAAATATGTCAGCAAAATATGATCTGCGCCATAGGAGGCATACGAACAAATGCTGTGGAACTTGTGAGAGATTAGTTCCTGGGGAGAAAAAAGGGGAGGAGAAAGAAGCAAGAAAGCCTTCACAGGCAAAGCAGTGTGTGAGTTTGTGGTGTGTGTGTGTGTGTGTGTGTGTGGTGTGCGTGTGTATGGGGGTGTTTGTGTGGGGGGTGTGTGCATATGTGTGGGGGTGTGTGTGCGGGGATGTGTGTGTGGGGGGGTGTGTGGGTGTGTGTGTGTGGTGTGTGTGTGTGTGTGTGTGTGGTGTATATGTGCAGTGTCATGTGCAGTATGTAATGTGTGTAGTGTGGTGTGTGTATACAGTGTCTATGTGGTATGTGCACATATGTATGTGGTCTGTGTGTTGTATGCTGTGTGTGTGCGTGTGTGGTGTGTGTGCAGTGTATATGTGGCATGTGCATATGTGTATGTGGTCTCTGTGTTGTGTGCATATATGTGTGGTGTGTGTGCAGTGTATATGTGACATGTGCACATGTGTATGTGGTTGTGTGTTGTGTGTGGTGTGTGTGCAGTGTATATGTGACATGTGCATGTGTGCATGCCTGTGTTCCCACATACGCATGTGGGCAGAGGCTGAAAGGAAGTGGCGGAGGGACTAGGGAAGAAAGCTGTCAGTGGGGCACATGTGAACAGCACAGATGAGAGGTGAATTTGGGCACGCGGGTGAGCAGTGAGCACATAGGTTTGACTAGCCTGATCGGGGAGGGTGGGTTGGAGACACAAGTGAGTGACAAAAGTAGAAAGAGAGGCCGAGGTAAAAGTGCTCATTCATTGAGCGAGCATTTCCTGGGTGCCAATTGTGCCTCGGGCCCTGTCTCCTCCTCGAGAACTTCACTGTCTAATGGGGAGCAGGGAGAAGTCGTTTGGGGGCAAATATATAATTTTATATTTTAAAATAACTGCAATACCACATGCATGCCTGACTACAGAATAAAAATGGCCAGGCTGAGAGGTTTGGATTCCATTTCTGAGGTGACAGAGAGCCCCAGAAGGTGTTTGAGCGGAGAAGTGACACGCTGTGTTTTAGGAATCTCACCATGGCACTGTGTGTGCGGTGGATTCTCAAGGCAGGGAGCTGAACAGAGTGGCTGCAACAGGTCTAGCCAGAGGAGGTTGAGACAATGGTCTGGCCAGGAGGTAATAGGAGCCTACGTAGGGGAGTGAAGAGGAGAGAGAATGGGAAACAACAGATCTGAGCACTATTGTAATGGGAAGATTGTCAGGGTTTGGTGAGTTTGGTCTTGAACATATTGCCTTTGAAGTATTTTTGGAAACACCCGAGCAGGGGTGCGTCACAGGAAGCTGCATAAAAGGATCCGAGGAAGGCCAGCTGGCTGGAGATAATGGCAGATCCAGGAGTCCTGGCTTGTGGTGGAGGACAAAGTGTGGGAGAGATCAGTCAAGGAGAACGTTGACGGGATGAGTAGAGGAAAGAAGGTCACTCTGGAATCTCTCAGGATCCAACAGAATAGGAAGAGACCTAGGGAAAGAGGCCAGGATTTCATTTCCCCAGGACAGTCACAGAAGAGTCAACAGAGGATTCGGTTCTGGCACCTCCACCCCAAACTTGGGCTACTATCTTCCAAGGGCGGGAGGGCCCTCTGATTCTGTTTGTGCAGCTGGCACTGGCCATGGAGAGCCGCCTCTGGGAGTTGACCGGGTGAGGAAGAAACAAGAAGACAGGGCCTCAACTACAGCATGGAGGTGGGTGGATGTACCTGGACACTCAGGATATCAGGGCTGCTAACAGCATCAAAGGACTCATGGCAGCCTCTGATTGGCTTAGGGTGGTCATGTCCATGGTGGTGGTGCTCTGCCCCTTTGCCTTCATGGTGTTGTTTGCTGGCTTCTTCCCAATAGTTTCCTTTGAGACGCAAATTTTCCAGGCCACAGAAGAGGAGAGAAGGAGCAGACACGTCCTCCGGCCTGTGCGTGAATGCAGGACTTTGGTTCACCCGTGGTGAGCGGCAGGCATCTTCTATGACCCTGGATTAAAGGCTCCTTCAATATAGATTTTTGTCTTTATGTCACTCAGATGTCATTTTTCCATGAATAAAGGGCAAGCTGAGTCTAGCCTTCAAGGACTCTATGATTTGGCTCCATATTGCTGAGCTGTGCCTGTTAGCTTCAATGTGTGCCTCCTGATCCACTCTCCACCCTCTGTCATCCTGCCCTCCACCCAAGAGGCGACCTAGAGCGGCTCCCTGGCTTCTGTTGGGCTCAGCCAAAGGGAAGCTCTAGGACACCTGAGGAAGGGAGGACTGTGAGGTCGCGGGATCTCAGTGTGGATCCTGGTTTTATGGATTAAGCTTGCAGTGTTACCAGCCCACAGTTACGAACAACATGTTAGATTCGAAAGGGAATCTCTATTTAGAATGAGAAAAGAAATGGTGACAAATTACACTTTTTAAAAAGCTTACAAACAACACAGTATCACAAAACGTAGAAAAATAACGATATTTTTCTTAATTGCCTAGAAAACTCTACAATACCTTTTTCCCATATCTTTCTGCTGCATATACTTTACATCTCATACAACAACTGTGTAATATAATTTCCCACAGAAAGAATGGAAATATAACGCAGTCTTCAGTAGGCTTGGTTGAAATTTTATTTTATTTTATTTTATTTTTTGAGATGGAGTCTTGCTCTGTCACCCAGGCTGGAGTGCAGTGGTGCAATCTCAGCTCACTGCAACCTCTGCCTCCTAGGTTCAAGCGATTCTCCTGTCTCAGCCTCCCGAGTACCGGGGATTACAGGCACGCGCCACCACACCCAGCTAATTTTTGTATTTTTAGTAGAGATGGGGTTTTGCCATGTTGGCCAGGCTGGTCTTGAACTCCTGACCTCAGGTGATCCACCTGCCTCAGCCACCCAAAGTGCTGGGATTACAGGAGTGAGCCACCGTGCCCAGCCTGAAATTTTATTTTTATCATTGATCATCTACAACTGTTTCAGTTTCACCACTCATTGTAACATCATGTGGAATTTTGAGATTATTGTCAAATGATGGAATGTCAAATGATGGAACATTATCATTTTCTTCCATATATAACTAAGATTTCAGACATTTCAAATTTCCTGGTGCAGGAAGTAATCTTCATTACTCTTTGAGCTGATGACACTTATAAGTCAGTTTGTCTTTGGTGTCCCCATTGTAGTGATGTATCATGAGAAGTCCATTTGTCTTTGGTGTCCCCATTGCAGTGATGTACATGAGAAGTCAGTTTGTCTTTGGTGTCCCCATTGTAGTGATGTATCATGAGACCTACGTTATCATCTGTGGAGGGAGCTGTGGCCACCGCACAGATCCCCTCTTCAGGCCAACACAGCCATCCTTCAGCTGCTGGGGATATCAGATTGGCTGAGGCCATATTTCTGATCAGCTTCTCCCAATCCTGCCATCCTCATTTCCTCACACATATGTCTCCTGAGAGCACTCCACGGTAAGCCTCCGGCCCACAACTTTCCATTTCATGGTCAGCCTCCAGGGAACCCAATCTAAGACAGCTTCAAAGATGTCAGCATTTTTTATCAAAGTAGCAAGAAATGTAAAGCTTTTCCCAGTGAGTTAATATGTTTTACTTTCCTTTAACAATAAGATTACCAGCTGGTCCAAGGGCCTTTATTTCTACCTGCCTTTTCTTTCTTCTTCTTAAAAAATTACTACTTTTGGTACGATCTGAAATGTTATTATGCTTATAGGCTACAAACACAGATGTTTAAGAATTTCTGAAGGGTGAGATTCCATTTTAAGAGAAAATAGTATGGTGTATTTAGAGTTGCATGTACTACATTATGTTTCTGACCAAGAGAACTGAATTCTCCACTTAAAATTGTACGTCTGATGATGGGAAGAATTTGCCATAGGCTATCTTCTGGTTCCATACCTTACAAACCTCTGTTCTCTTCCACTAACCACATACATATTGCAATATGACCTGTCATCACCTTCAAGTCATGACACCAGGTGAGTTGGAGGTGAGAGTATTCCTGAAAGCCATTTTGACATCAGGACAGCTAGTGATGAATTAAGTATATTCAGAAGTGACTGTGGGCTGGGTGCAGTGGCTCATGCCTATAATCCCAACACTTTGGGAGGCCGAGGTGGGCGGATCACTTGAAGTCAGGAGATCGAGACCAGCCTGGACAACATGGTAAAACCTCATCTCTACTAAAAATACAAGAATTAGCTGGCTATGGTGGTGCACACCTGTAATCCCAGCTACTCGGGAGGCTGAGGCAAGAGAATCACTTGAACCCGGGAGGCGGAGGTTGCAGTGAGCTGAGATTGCACCATTGCACTCCAGCCTGGGTGACAGAGTGAGACTCCATCCTAAAGAAAAAAAAAAGTGGCTGTGAGCAACTTACATATACCCAACCAAACCAAAACCCATCTCCCCCTTAACCAGATCCTAAAAATGCCCGCAACGACTCCAAAGCCACCCAACCATGAGATATGTATAGTGGAGGGAAACTGGGATGAAACTATCTTACTTTTGCAAAATTTACAAAATGTGTGACATATGAATACATCGCTAGAACTCCTCCCGGCTTTGGAAGTCACCTGTGCAAGCGTGGGATCCTGAAGCTTAAACTTCGCCAGCGTCACTACAAATCCAGCTCTGCCTGGGTCTCTCCCTGCAAGGTTGCCTCCAGCTTACTGTGCCCCTGGACTGAAGTCTTCTGTTCCTTCCAAGTCAAGTTGCTCTGCAGGACTCTCTGTTCTGGTCTTTGTCTCTTTGTGCCTAGAGGTGATAACACCTTGGCTCTTACTAAGACCAGTTAACTGCACTATTCTTTGTGGTTTCCCTGTGATCACACCTATGCAAATAAACTATCCTGGAACTATCCCATTTTAATTGTGTCCTCTGTTTGCTGTTGGGACTCTGACCAGTCATCACTCACTCTTCCCCAACAAACACCCCTATTTCCCTCAAGCTGCCCCTAACTCTCTCCCTTCCTCACCCCATCCCCAGCTTACACCATCTGCCTCCCCGAAACGTCCTAAGCAAACCCTGCCCATTCTTCCAGGCCCAGCTGATCCCATCCTCCTCCCCAGCCAGAGTGGTGCTCAGGAAGCCCTGCCGGGTCAATGCATGTTTGAACATTATCTGGGCAGTGTCTGCCTGCAGAAGCTCCAGGGAAGGAGGAGGGGTTCCTGAAGATATCGATTTCATAATTAGGCCTCAGAGAAAGAGGCTCTTGGAAGCATCTTTCCTGGAGACCAGAATCACTGCTTACCCCACCACGGAGGGAGGCCCTGTCAAAATGAAGGAGGTTCCTTCCCTCTCCTGGGTGAGGGGCTGGGATTCCCTCTGTCTGTGAGTATGGGAGTGATTAAAAGGGAGGCTGGCTGAGTGCCTTACACAAATCATTTCCAGCCACACACCCGAGGGACACTGCAGGAATGCAGGGCCGAACACAAACGCATCCTTCCTGCTGGGCCTGGCTCAGAAGAGAAAGTCATGTCAGACCCGGGGAAGGGAGCTTCTGGGTGGACAGTGGGTAGAACAGCAGGAATCCCAGGCGAGCAGAGTCCAGGGCTCCTCCTCCGAGGCTCCATGAAGTAACTCATGCAGGAAGAGATGGGAAACAGCCTCTGCCCAGGTTAATGGGAGCGAGTCATGGCCACCTCCCAGGAAAGGAGACTGGGAAAACAGCAGGACCTAGGCCTTTTCTTCCACAGGGCAGAGCAGTCTGGGGAGGCTTCGCTGCTGCCCAGGCAGGAGACGGCCATGAGGACATGTATATTCCTGCGGTGAAAAAAACGGAGGCCCAATTTTGGCCACAGAGGAGATTCCTATCACGGAGAGTGCAGGGACTCTGCCTAGCATTTGAGGCACTTCAGGAAAAGCAGAATGGAGCATGGCACCCAACTCTCCACTCTGACTTTCTGAGTCTTGAGCCCCAAAATGTAGGTACTTTCAAACAAGAAAAGTACCAAGAAAGAGTCTTTTGTAGTTTGCAAGCATGATGATTCGGTTTTGAGAGGTGCCTCCCTCAAACCTTGTAGACGTCGTCATCGGCACATTACCTGCCTGATGTGAAAAAGAGAAAGAAAAAAAGGTAGCAAATATCTGGGGATTTTCTTTCACTGGTTGCTTTTAAATGCTTTAAAATTAAGAGACATTTTTATCCCCTTTATAAAACTGGAAAGATATGCCAGTTTAAAGGTAAGGAAGTGGGCTGGCATGGTGGCTCATGCCTGTAATCCCAGCACTTTGGGAGGCCGAAGCAGGTGGATCACCTGAGGTGAGGAGATCAAGACCAGCCTGGCCAACATGGCGAAACCCCGTCTCTACTAAAAATACAAAAATTAGCTGGGTGTGGGGGGTGCGCCTGTAGTCCCAGCTACTCGGGAGGCTGAGGCAGGAGAATCGCTTGAGCCAGGGAGGCCCCAGCTACTCGGGAGGCTGAGGCAGGAGAATCACTTGAACCCGGGAGGCAGAGGTTGTGGTGAGCCAAGATCACACCACTGCACTCCAGCCTGGGTGGCAGAATGAGACTCTCTCAGAAATGAAAAACAAAAAAATAAAAAAATAAAGGTAAGGAAGTGGCTGATTACCTCTTGGTTCACACGTGGGTGTATGGGCATGGGCCATGGTGGTGTGGTCATAGTCGGTAGAACATGTGTGTAGATATAGATATAAATGTAGCTGTAGACAGAGATAGAGATATATGTCACAGTCAGTGGAACTTAATATTAAACATTCGTGGAAAGAGCTGTCAGTGCTGACCACAGGCAGCTGATCTGTGACCTACACCAGCCTCTACTGCTAAAATTATTGTGACCTTAAGCAAGTCAGTTTCCTATTCTGAGCCTAAGTGTTCTCATCTATAAATGAGGTAATTGGACTAGATATTACTATTGTTTCTGCCGGGCGCGGTGGCTCACACCTGTAATGCCAGCACTTTGGCAGGCTGAGGCAGGCAGATCACAAGGTCAGGAGTTTGAGACCAGCCTGACCAGTATGGTGAAACCCCGTCTCTACTAAAAATACAAAAATTAGCCGGGCATGGTGGTGGGTGCCTATAATCCCAGCTACTGGGGAGGCTGAGGCAGAAGAGTCGTTTGAACCCGGGAGGCAGAGGTTGCATGAGCCAAGATCGCGCCACTGCACTCCAGCCTGGGCGACAGAGCGAGACTCCATCTCAAAAAAAAAAAAAAAAAAAAAATCGATGCTTCTAGTAAAACCAATTGTAGCCCATTAAGAGAGTAGTTTTTAGTGCTCCCGTTAGGTAAGTGTATTCTGCTTTGTGCGGCTCAGTAAGAAAGCCAGGAGCCATAATACTTGGGTTCCCATGTTGACTCTGCCTGTTTCCATCTGATGAGCTTGGATAAGACAGCATGTCTCTCTGAGCCTCAGTTTCAGGAAAGGATCCATCACTTCTCCAAAGCTCATGTGCTCCGATCTTGTCTCATTCCCCAGAGAAAGGCTTTGTGGTGCAAAAACCAAAATGTCTCGGTTCTCATTTTGTCACTTCCAGCTAAGGAGACAGGCATTTCTGAGCCTTCTCCCTTAGGCACCCTATCACAAATAATAAACATTAGTCCATCCTATATCCTGACTTAAGAGGCACCTCAAAATATAATCCCCTGGGGCTTAATGGAGCATAAATACACAGCAGATGAAAGCATCTTGGGGTTTTCCGCATGTAAGCTCCCATTACCTTCTTAAGCTGAGTCACGGTCCCTGACCACATTCTCCTCTTGGATGGCTCAAGGTGGCCAGACTAGTTATGGGACCATTTGGGAGAGGAGAAGACCCATTTCCTTCTGGCAGTTTTCCATGATCTTGAATTCTAGAACCAAAAAGAACACCCCACTGAGCCTCAATTCCTCGGATTGGGTAAGGCCACCCTTCCTGCTAATTGATCGGTAACAGAACATGACACATAACTTCCATAAACACAGGAGCTGGAAAGAGGGGTGTTTCCATGAGGCAGCAGGTGGAGTAGGTAAGTACGGAGGCCCTCGAAGCACTGGCTTTGGATCAGACAAACCCAGATTTGATTCTGGATGGACTACTTTCTAGCTGTGTGAGCTTGAGTGAGTTACTTAACCTCTCTGAACCTCAGTTTCCCCCTCTGTAAATATCTACTTCCCAGCATGATCATGAGGTGTAGACATACTATCTAAAGAGCAGTAGTCTCAGTGCAGGGGCTCGCATGTATCTGGGGCTCAATAAATTCTAGCTCCTCCTCCCTTCTCCTTCCTTTCACAAAATAATATTAGAAACGTGACAAGTCGATGACTGTTAGCTTGGTAGCATCATGAACCCATCATATCAGGCCTGTACCTAACTCTTCAGGTTACTATTATCCCCTAACCTCTTACCTTCTCTGATCTAGTCACAGATCAGAGAACCACCCACCCATTCTCAAATCACACCCTACACTGTGCCATTGTGTGTGCAATTCTTTGCCTAGACTGCCCTCCCCAATCTCCACATGGCCAAGTATTTCTCATTTTTCAAGGTCCAGTTCATCTATTTCTGTCTCCCCATTGCCCTCAATACTGGCAGCAAGGCCCTGTTCAAATGCCATGTTATGTGGGAAGCACTCCCTCACTTCTAACTGGAAGTAAACGCTGCCTCTTCTAAGTGAACGCAGAGGTTTTGCTGTGTGTCTCATCATTTTTCCCTTCTATAATAAAGAAGTAAGAATACCAGCCCCTATCCCTCCACCAGCTGACTAGGAAGCTCTTTGAGAAGGATCAACATTGCGTATGCATCATCCTGGAAACCCTCAGGAGAAAACTCTGAACAGAGCAGAAACCCAGCAAATACTATTGAGTGAATACATGAAGGGAGATTAATATATTTGGAGATGCTGAGAAAGAGAAACTGTACTCTTCAGACAGGGAGTAGAAGGGAAAGAGAAGTTACACTGTCTGCATACCTGCTGTGTGAGATAGATATCGCAGTTCCTAGTTACAGAGGAAGAAAATGAAGCTCGTGGAAGCTAAGTAACGATGTTATGCAACCATTAATGGGTCCAGCTACATGGGCACTTTCCCCAGAGAGCTGGGCATGTGTCATTTCATGTAATACTCACAACAACCCGTATGAAGCAGTCTGATTCTCATTTTGTAGATGAAGAAGCTGAGGCTAGAAGAAATTAAGTAGGTAACCCAAGTTTACAAAGTTCATGGAGTGAGGGCTGTCAGTTTATACCCAGCCTATCAGATGTGGATAATTGGTGGGTACTTCGTTTTCTGTAACTGATCATTTTGTCCTCTAGAATCCCAAATCCCACTGAAGAGCAGGAAACAAACAAAAACTTGTCAAGTCAAAGATCTCATGTTTTTTGCCGGGGAAGGGAGGTAAAAAGAATTTCTGTTTCTGTCTTTGTTTTTTCCGTTGTCTATTTCTTTTGAACAGTACTGTGTTCCAATAATTCAAGGCTCAAACTTCCTTCCAGGCCTGTTTGTCCTTCTCTGAGCTTTCCTCTTTCCCTCCTCCCTGCAGGAAGGCTAGTCCTTGTCCCATCCCCTGAGTTCTCGCCACCTTAGGAGGAGAAGTCCCTCGTGTGCCTGCTCCCAGGGCCCAGTTCACACCTGCAGCTAAAGTCCGTGCCAGAGGACATGTCTGTTCTCTTGGCCCTGGGCTCATCTGAGGCCTGGTGTTCACCCCTCTCCCCTTCTTCTTGCTGCTGGTTCTGTGCCGCCCCAGCTTTTCCCAGTACAGCCAACCTGGGCCTCCACCTGTGTCTTGTGGTGTGGACAATCGTCACAGCATCTGCTGTGGGTCACCTCCCCCTTGCCATAGAGGACTGCTGCCCTCAGCTGACCTCTCAGTGACCTTCTGCTTTCCCCAGTGGGCCCTCAGAGGCTTCCAGATCAGGCTGGGGAGCACAGAGGCGAGGCGTAGTCCTTCCTCAGGCCAGCTGTCTCTCCGCGAGGCCACCCAGGTCACTGTGAGGCCGTCCGCAGGGCAGTCTCCTCCCAGGATTTCTTTAGCAGGAGGGGATACAAACCACTCTTGGAAATTCCCCCTGCTGAACTCACTTCTAATCTTCTCCCTGTGGGTTCGGCCCGGCCAGTGAGCCAGGCCACAAGTGTCTGGCCACTTGCCCTCCTCCTTCCCTTCCCTCTTGCCTCCCACTCCCCACAAACCCCTTCTCCATGCCACCTTGATGTTGAAAGGGTTCCTGTCCCCTCTGCTGTTTACAGATCTGCTTCCTATACCACATTCTCCTCTTTCCCGAGATGCCATTCATCATTTTCCCTTTCCTAGAGCCATAGTGGCAAAATGGATGCAAGGAAAATATATAAGGAAGGTGTCCTGGGGGCCGGGCGTGGTGGCTCATGCCTGTAATCCCAGCACTTTGGGAGGCCGAGGCTGGTGGATCATCTGAGGTCAAGAGTTCAAGACCAGCCTGGCTAAATGGTGAAACCCCGTCTCTACTAAAAAATGCAAAAATTAGCTAGGCGTGGTGGCGGGCGCCTGTAATCCGAGCTACTTGGGAGGTTGAGGCAGGAGAATTGCTTGAATCCGGGAGGTGGAGGTTGCAGTGAGCCGCGATCACACCACTGCACTCCAGCCTGGGCGAAAGAGTGAGACCCTGTCTCCAAAAAAAAAAAAAAAAAAGAAAAAGGAAGGTATCTTGGAAAATACCACTCTGAGTCCACGTGTAGCAGCAGGAATTAAACCCAAATGCATCCAGCACTAAAGCTTTCTGTTAAGCACCATTTTAGACACCCCAATACTACAGAACTAGAGTAGGTGGATCTGAGATTTGAACACAGGTCTAAACCAACCTCAAAATCCAAGCTTTTCCAATTAACCGTTTTTCTCCTTCCTCTTTCACCAACAGACCCTGCCCACTCCAGGGTCTACCGGGTCCCTGCTATGGGTCGCCTCCCCGGTGAATCGACTTCTAATCTTCTCTAGGGTCTGCTTCAGGGGCAGGGTCTAACGGTGGAAGAAAGAAGAAAGACCCTAGTCTTTATCTTACTGGGGTTTCCATACTTAGCAAATCAAAGTATAGGATGCAGGGGTCCGCATTCTCTAACAGCCTGAACAGGAGTCCTTGAGCCTTCACTTCAGCACCAGCTCCTACTTCCTCCCTCCCTGCAAGCAGAGCCCACAGGTATCTCCAACGTTGACCTGAGAATGTTTTCAGAGCAGAAATGCAGAAGATCTTTCTTTCAAAGCACACATGCCTTTGTTCCCTGCTTTGGATCACTTAAGGCAGGCTTGAGCAGCCTCTTAATAGGTTTGTTTTGCGGTTGGTTTATTCCTCCGTTGGGGTGAGTAGACTTCACTTAGCTGCATAGGGGAAGAAAGGCAGTTTGTAAGCCAAGCGGAGCAGCAAATGTCAGATCAGGCTGAAGGCTGCTGAAGTTTCCCACAGGCCCCAAACACCCTCTTGAACGACTTACTCTGCCGGTTTAGTGCAAGGGTGGTTTTCTTTCTCCCCCCTCAGCCGGACCTTTGGGATCTGTTTTACTCACCTGGAAAGTTGCATAATCTTGACAAGCACAAAGCAATTAAGAGATTCCTAGCTCCTGCTGCTGCTGCTGCTGCTGCTGCTGCTGCTGCTGCTGCTTCTACTATACACTGGTAGGTGGAAGAAGGGACACTGGCCTCTAGGATTAAAGACTCTGCCTTCATCGGTAAGTAGACGTAGAGAGCAGACGCAATTCCACAGATCATTCTCATCAATGTAAACTACATGTGCCCAAAATATGTTGGGTCATAAATTTCAGGTAGACACAAAAGTAATGCACCTCCTTGATTACCTCAGTTATTTACAATTGGCTTGGAGAAATCTAGTCTAAGGATTTAATTTAGTAAACATGCATTGAGTTCCTGATGCACAAAAGGAAGGCCCTGGTCAGGTCAGAGCTTTGATTACAAAAATAACTAAGACATGGTCTTAAACCTCACGTGGTTCCTGGCTGCTGGTGGTGGCGGGGAGGGGAGAAAATGACAATATGAAATGTCTGCTCCCCTTAAGAAAATTCTCCCTGTCTTAGAGGGGAACATCACACAATGGGACCTGTCGGGGTGTCGGGGGCAAGGGGAGGGATAGCATTAGGAGAAATACCCAATGTAGATGACGAGTTGATGGGTGCAGCAAACCACCATGGCACATGTATACCTGTGTAACAAACCTGCATGTTCTGCACATGTATTCTGGAACTTAAAGTATATAAAAAAAAAAATAAAGAAGAAGAAAGAAAGAAAATTCTTCGTGTCTTAAGCCTGTCCCCTACCCCTTTGCTTCAAATCCTGGTTTCCAGGAAGATTGATTGACATGTATCACCTCCCAGTCCCCGCCTGCATCTGCTCCCTGCAGTCCTCTGACTTAGCTTTAACTACCATATCTACTTGCAGATTTTAGTCTTTCTCTTACTAGGGTTCCCATACTTAGCAAGTCAAAGTAATATACATACTTATACTTAAAAAGTATTCATTTTGGGGAAGGTGGGGATGGTTAACGGGTACAAAAAATAGAAAGAATGAATAAGACCTACTATTTGATAGCACAGCGAGGTGACCGTAGGCATAATAGCTCTATTGTACATTTTTAAATAACTAAAAGAGCGTAACTGGATTGTTTGTAACACAAAGGATAAACGCTTGCGGGAATGGATACCCCATTCTCCATGATGTGATCATTTCACAGTGCAGGCCTGTGTCAAAACATCTCATGTACCCCATTAAGATATACACCTACTAGGTACCCACAAAAATTAAAATAAAAAATGTGTTAATTAAACAATATTTTTAAAGTATTCATTTCTATCTGAATGCAAATTTAACTGGACATGCTGTATTTTATCTAGCAACGCTGTGTCTTACTAGACTTATCTGCTTGCTCTAACCTGGTGACTGTTCCTTCCTTCTTAAAATGATCTTCTTCTTAAGCAGATGTAACATTGACTGACGTGGCTCTCTCCTGATCATCCTCCCTCCCCTTGGACCACCCACTCAGTCTCTTTCACAGCCTCCCCTTCCCCTCCATGATCCTTAAATGTTGAGCTCCATTAGAGCTCCAGCCTCTGTTCTTCTCCCTCCCTCAGTCTTCCCAGGACATCTTCAACACCTCGTCTTCAATGACCTCAGCCAAGGTGGCATCTGCTTGATGAGTCTTCCTCTAGCTTAGAGAGAATACTTTCTTGAGCTCACTCCAATCTCTATGCTTCATGGTCTCTTGGGCAACTCCAAGCAAGATGTACCACAGGTTTCCCAAGATCAGCATGTTGCAGATTTTTTATTTATTTATGTATTTATTTTTGGGGTGCAGTGGCATGATCTCGGCTCACTGCAACTTCTGCCTCCCGAGTTCAAACAATTCTCCTGCCTCAGCCTCCTGAGTAGCTGGGGTTACAGGCATGCGCCACCACACCCAGCTAATTTTTTTGTATTTTTGGTAAAGACAGGATTTCACCATGTTGGTCAGGCCGGTCTCGAACTCCTAATCTCGTGATCTGCCCGCCTCGCCTTCCCAAAGTGCTGGGATTGCAGGCGTGAGCCACCGCGCCCAGCCGCATGTTGCAAATTTTACTCATTTGTTCCCTCTCCATTTCTACTCTTCCCAATCCCAGTGAATTTACCCCACCATCCAACCCAATACTCAAGTCAGAAACCCAGCAGTGGCTCTTGATTTTGTCCTCTTCCTTCCCGCAACCCCCACATCTAATTTGTCTCCTTGCAGGTTAGATTCTATCTTCTAAAGATTTTTCATCTGTCCCCGTTTGCTCTCTGCCACTGCCCTCTTACAGACCATCATCATCTCTCACCTCGACCGTGGCGGCAGCCTCCTAAGTGGTCTCTCTGCCTCCATTCCTCCTCTATATTCCACAACATCCCCTGAAGGATGTTGCTAACACAAAAGTCATATTATAGCCTTCCCTTATTTCATTGGTTTCTCATCAATCATTGGGCAGCTTGACCCATGGGACTCTTCACCACTTCTCCAAGTTTATCTGCTGACACAGAACAACCCCAGCCATACCGAAAATAGTCTCTCTTCCCCAAGCATATGATTTGGTCTCCGAGTCTGATTTACATGTATCAGGGCTTTCTGCAGCACACTCCTACCTGCACTGGAAACCATGGAAAACTACTCATCCTCCAAGCCTCAAGTCAGGCTTTGCCTCTTCGCAGAAGCCTCTCTACATTCTCCAAGGAAACGTGGAGGGGGAGTATACTCCATGCTCTGTGTTCCTATAGCTGCTAGAGTCTAGCACCTTGTACTAACCTCATTAGAAAGCCCTCTAGAGGACAGATCTGTTTGCAAGTCTTGAATTTACTGTAATTGATTACACATGACCAGACCCTGAGCTCCTGGAACACAGAGACCATATCTTTTATTAGCTTTGTTTTGTTAATATCTAGAACTTTAAAAATATCTGTAAGAATACAGAAACTAATACAACCAACACCTGTGTTTCAATTGACCAGAGTTGACCCCTATTAATATTTGGGTGTATTTGCTTCCAATCTCATCCCTTTGACTCTATTCTCTTCCCTCAGAAGCAAAATTGTAAGCAAGACAAGCAGACAAGGGATCCTGGAGTGAGGGTTTGAGAAGAGTTGGAAGGCCAGGTACGGTGGCTCACACCTGTAATCCCAGCACTTTGGGAGGCTGAGGCCGGTAGATCATGAGGTCAGGAAATCGAGACCATCCCAGCCAACATGGTGAAACCCCATCTCAACTAAAAATACAAAAATTAGCTGGGCGTGGTGGCGCGTGCCTGTAATCCCAGCTACTCGGGGTGGGGGCTGAGGCAGGAGAATCGCTTGAACCCAGGAGGCAGAGGTTGCAGTCAGCCAAGATCATGCCATTGCACTCCAACCTGGCAACAGAGTGAGACTCCATCTCAAAAAACTAAAAATTTAAATTTAAAAAAAAAAGAGCTGGAGTTGGGTGGAGGATGATCTGGGAGGTACAGAAATGAGACAAGTGGAATCGGTCAAAGCATTCTTGTAACAGACTTTGAAACGGCAGAAGTCCACATATTTTTCTTGAAAATGCCCATTTTCTTTGTAAGGCCGAGGTGGGTGGATCACCTGAGGTCAGGAGTTCAAGACCAGCCCGACCAACATGGAGAAACCCCCTCTCTACTAAAAATACAAAATTAGCCAGGTGTGGTGGCGCATGCCTGTAATCCCAGCTATTCAGGAGGCTGAGGCAGGAGAATCGCTTGAACACGGGAGGCAGAGGTCGCAATGAGCCGAGATTGCACCATTGCACTTCAGCCTGGGCAACAAGAGTGAAACTCCATCCCAAAAAAAGCAAAAAATTTGCCCGTTTTCCCATAGACTGATGGCCCACT
This sequence comes from Homo sapiens, assembly GCF_000001405.40. NCBI lineage: Eukaryota > Metazoa > Chordata > Mammalia > Primates > Hominidae > Homo > Homo sapiens. Next base: position 197,330,208 of record NC_000003.12, on the reverse strand, counting down.
TTAGCTGTATGTATACTGGTGGCAAACTGAAAACATTAAATGAAAGAAAATCTTATTTTATGTGGTTTTAGCTTAGCAAAAAAATTTTTTTAGAAGACGGCATCACTTTAAAACTCTGGCAAAATTTATTTTCAGTTTCTTTTGGTGTTTATTACAAAAAAAAAACCAATAAAGCAAAAACAAACAAACAAACCGAAACCTCTCTCAAACAGCCTGGAAGACTCTGCACCAAAATATTAATTGTGATTATCTTTGGGTGGTAGCATTAGAGACCATTTTCTTTTGTTTGCCTGTCTGCCTTTTTCAAAGTAATGAAGAAAAGTAATGCAGGAGAGCAATGAGGAAGAGTGATAGCAAATGAGGCAATGAAGAAGAGAATCATGCCTTTAAAAATATATTCTCAGTAATATTCAGGGAAAGGTAAACAGTTTGAGAATTTTTTTCATGATAGACAGAAGATTTGAAGAGAGGAAGAGTATTCGTTGGCAGCCTAGAACTTACAGCTTGCACTTTAGTGAGATTTCTCCCTATCAAGATTATGGATTGGCTGTACCACCCAGGGAACAAACAGCTGACCTCAAATCACATGCCGATATGTTCACAATTAAACAATCACTGAAGAAGCTGTAAAGCACAGAAAATGTGT